>NC_000022.11:35527745-35679260 GCF_000001405.40 Homo sapiens
AAGCAATTCTCTTGCCTCAGCCTCACGAGTAGCTGAGATTACAGGCATGCACCACCACGCCCGGCTAACTTTGTATTTTTAGGAGAGACGGGGTTTCTCCATGTTGGCCAGGCTGGTCTTGAACTCCCAGCCTCAGGTGATCCTCCCGCCTTGGCCTCCCGAAGTGCTGGGATTATAGACGTGAGCCACCGTGCCGGGCCCATTCATTCTTTCTTTCACTTCTTTCATGACTAGCTCACATTCTTAGGCGTGTTGTTGCTTTTCCTTGAACACGCCAAGCACAGGCCCTCTGGGGCATCTGCACTTGCTGTTCCTCTGCCTGGGATGTTCTTCCTACTGCCATGCCCACCTGACCCAGCCCTTGCTTCGCTCTGTTTCAGTGTCACCTCCCTGACCACCTGTCCCCAACAGCTCCCCCATTACCCTCTCACACACCTGAGCCTGCACCATTTTTCTTCATAGACCCAATCACTCCCTGACTTTATATTGTTATTATATGCTATTTACTGTATTATATTCTGTTTTATAGCTATTTGATTAATTACCTCTTCCCTCTAGAACATCAGCTCCTTGAGAGCAGGGTTTTGTCTCTGTTGTCCACCATTCTATTCTCAGCACCTAGATCCATGCCCAGCACATAGTAGGTGCTTAAATACGTTTCTGTTTACTGAATGAATAAGCACCTATTATGTGCCAGAACCTACTCTGGATTCTGAGAATACGCACATGATTACGTTGATCTCCTGCCTCTAAGATGCTCATAGCAGACAGACAAAAATGGGTCACCAGGGCTGGGCATGGTGGCTTACACCTGTAATCCCAGCACTTTGGGAGGCCTAGAAGGGTGGATCACCTGAGGGCAGGAGTTCCAGACCAGCCTGGCCAACATGGAGAAACCTGTCTCTACTAAATACAAAAAATTATTGGGGCATGGTGGCAGGCCCCTGTAATCCCAGCTACTCAGGATGCTAAGGTAGGAGAATCACTTGAACCCAGGAGGTGGAGGTTGCAGTGAGCTGAGATCGCACCACTGCACTCCAGCCTGGTGACAGAGTGAGACTCTGTCTCAAACACACACACACACACACACACACACACACAAATGAAAAACAAACAAACAAACAAAAACAAAAAAGGGGCACCAGGTCAGCATGTGGGCTGAGGTAGGCCCCCAATAAGATGGCTCCTTTAGCTGTTGTGTGGCAGAGCCTACTGGATGACCGCTAGTATAAATTCTACTCTATTTCCTTAATAACAGAACCCTAAATTTAGCTGGGTGTGAGGTCACTTAGAGTAAAGGCCACATTTCCCAGCTTCCTTTGCAGTCCAGTGTGGCTATGTGACTCAGTTCTGGCCAATTTCCAGGAAGTATCCTTAGAGAAAAAGGGTGTCCCCTCTGCTGCCCTTTCCTCTGCTCACTGGATTGAGAAGTGATGGGTGGACTTAAGCAGCCATCTTGGGCCGTGAGGATGAGGCCACACCCCCAGAATTCTGGCACACAAAGCTAGAAGCAGCCTGGGTCTCTGACCCTGTGAAGCACAAGTCATCTCACCTTCAGAATTCATTTAGCTGAGTGAGAAATTTACCTGAGCGAAAAGTAAATTGGTTTAATCTACTTTTATTTGGGGTTTTCTGTGACTTGCAGTTGACTAATCCTAATCCTTATTGATGCAGCCTTAGAAGGAGCGGAGAAAGTGGCTAGGAGACTTGTTTTGGTTCTCAGAGAGTGAGATGGCCCCACCATTCGGCAGAGAGGCAGAAGTTGTGGTTGAAGTGTATCTGGATCTAGGCAGGGCCTGTTGACCTTGCAAGTTTTATAAATCATTAATGGTAGCACTCATTTGATCTCCATTCATTCATTTACCTTTTCATTTATTTCTTCAGTTGTCCCACCATTCACTCATGAGGTTTATCTACCCATCCATTCATCCATCAAAACATTCCATGAGGCAGGTATTCATGGGGCTGGGGTGTGAGTTTGAGCCAGGCAGGGAACAGTTTGCAAATGAAGCTCAGCTGGGAGACTGGGAGCAGGGTCTTTGGAACTGGAGTGCCCTATCTGAGGCCTGGCAGTGCTTGCTCTCTCATCAGGCTTCTGCCTCTACTGGAGGCACATCTGTGGAGTGGTCAAATTCAGGATTACAGGAGTGTGCCAGTCCCAGGGAGGGCCAGAGAGCCCTCCAGGTTCCTTGGGGACTCCCAGGGCAGGTGTCCTCCCACCCCATGCCCTGCAAGAGAGCAGGCAGTAAACCTTTTAGCTCAACTGCACCTTCATTGTGTCATGAATGGTGGTTGATATCAGCAAGAGAATGATTCATGTGTCTTGTAGTTTCTGGAAGATCTAGAAGGCGTAAAGTCCCTGCTTAGGACACATGCTAAGAATATGCTGGAAGGGAGTCAGAAACTCATGGGCCTTGTACGTTTTCTCCAAAATTGAGCCAGGATCCTGGGGGAGGAGTGGGATTAACAAAGATCACAGGACTTACTGGGGTGGAACGAGGCTGAGACAGCAGAGACAAGGCATATTTGATAGAAAACAAAAAGTGGATGAAAAAATGACTCCCTGGATGTCTGTGGTTCACCCAGAATAAGCCGGTTTTTTCCTGGAACTTCATGAACCTGTACTTTCGCAGATGTTTTGGTCAAAACTGAAGGTTACAAGACAGAAACAAAGCAAAAGTATCTATCTCTGTAATCTTTTGTGATATAACGAAGCATCCCAAAAGTTTTTTTTTTCTTTTTTTTTGGAGACGGAGTCTCGCTCTGTGGCCCAGGCTACAGAGTAATGGCATGATCTTGGCTCACTGCAACCTCCGCCTCCCAGGTTCAAGCAATTCTCCTGCCTCAGTCTCCCAAGTAGCTGGGACTACAGGCATGCGCCACCACTCCTGGCTAATTTTTGTATTTTTTGTAGAGATGGGGTTTCACCATGTTGGCCAGGCTAATCCTGAACTCCTGACCTCAGGTGATCCACCCACCTCGGCCTCCCAAAATGCTGGGATTACAGGCGTGAGCCACTGCACTAGGCAGGCATTTCAAAACTTGATGGTGTAAAACAACAATATTTTTATGATTTCCCATGATTCTGTGGTAAGCTGGGCAAGGCTCCTGCTCCACGTGATCATGGCTGGACATGCAGGCAGCTGCATTCAGCTGGTGGCCAGAAGGTTCTAGAAGGGCGGTCAGTTCTTCTCCACATGGCCTTTCTTGCCACATGGTCTTTCCCTCTGGCAGGACAGCCTGAACTTCCTTACATGGTGGTGGCTGGACTCTGAGAGTGAAAGCAGAAGCTTCCAGGCACCCCCCACTTTTTTTTTCTTTTTTTGAGATGGGGTTCAGCTCTGTTGCCCAGGCTGGAGTACAGTGATACAATCATAGCTCACTGCAGCCTCAAACTCCTAGGTGCAAGTGATCCTCCCACCTCAGCCTTCTGAGTAGGTAGTACTACAGGTACACACTATCACAACCAGTTAATTAAAAAAAAAATTTTTTTTAGAGATGGGGTCTTGTTTTATTGCCCAGGGTGGTGTCAAACTCATAGACTTAAACGATCTCCTACCTCAGCCTCCCAAAGCACTGGGATGACAAGCATGAGCCACTGCTCCCAGCCACTTCCAGGCCTCTTGGGGCCCAGGCCTGGAATTGATACAGCCTCACTTTTGCCACATTCTATTGGTCAAAGCATGTCCCGCATTATCTCAGACTCCAGTGCAGAGAAAATAAACTCCATCTCTTGGGAGGCATCGTCAGTGGCCACATTTGCAGACAAACTTCCGTCGGAAGTTGATGGGATCATGGAGCCTAGAAAAAAAGTAAGATGTGAATGACACAGGTTTGACCTACGCACAACTTCATGGACACACACTTGGTGCCTAGAGTGAGACTCATCATACATCAGCTTAGGGCTTAAGCCAGTGTTTGCTGCGGCTGACTCTGCCTCTCTTCTACTATGCTGCTTTCCTCTTCATCAAACAACTCCATCAACTGGAGACCACTAAAAGGAAAGAGAAATACACCAAGGCCACAGTCATTAGCATCCTGGAACATTGGATTCTATTTCTGGCAGATCAGAGGTAGTTGGCAAACCTCTGCCCCCGTCTCCCCAGCTCAGCACTCTGAGGTAATGAGCCCACTGTATTATGTGGCATTAGCAGAAATGCTGGATGCTGATCAAGAGAGGAAATAGACTCCCGTCCTCCATCATCAGCAGCCTGCACCTGGGGCTTGGGGTTCAGCTGTGGCCTCAGGGGAAGGCAGCTCCCATTTATTGAGGGCCTACTGTGTGCCAAGTGCTGTGCTAGGTGCATCTGGTCCCTGCTTTTTTCTCAAGCCTCATCTTGCATTCTATTCCCTCTCTCTGATTTCCAACCAATCTGGGTCTATTTTAGTGTTTTCAAACACGCTGCTCTTTCTCTTCCAGGTCTTTGTATGTACTGTCCCCATTGCTTGATGCACTCTCCCTGTCTCTTAGTCAGGTTAACTCAAATGCATCCCTCAGACCTTAGGTTCTCTGCTTTCTCTGCTGGACTGAAAGTTTCTCTGGGGTAGTGCCACACCCCCCGAAGTACTGCTTGGCTCCCGGCCCAGTGTTCTGTAAGTATTTGTTGAATGACTGAATGATGGAGTGAATGACTCCTCACAACAGCCCGTTTTGAAAGATGGAGCAATTGAGGCTCAGAGAGAACTAGCTTGTCCAAGGCCAAGATAAGGTGAGAGGCAGAGTCAGGATTTGAACCTGGGTCTGTGTGGTGGCCAAGCTTGTGTCCTTTCGACTACACCTGGCACTCAGGGGTAAATGAAGGAGTGGACGATGGTGATGGGGAGCGGGATAAGGTGTCCGAGAAAGAGGCAAGGGCAAAGGCACCTCTGTCCCATTGCTTCCAGGTAGTAACACCAGAAATGGAGGTGGAACCTGGGGCTGAGCTACCAAGTCACACAGAGTTCGGCTAAGCCTCTGGGAGCCTGGTCTCCCAGTGTCTCTTAGACTGAGGACTTACAGGTGCCTGCTCTGTAGACAACAGGTGTCAGGCCAGCAGCTCAGCTGCTGCCAGAATCCGGAGGGTCGTGCTAATTCCCAGGTTCTTCGGTGCCCTCCAGTTAAAGGGACCCACAGAAGATTCCAGGTCAGAAACAGGAGGTGTTAGCACCAGGGAGCTGCATGGGAGGTGGTTCCTGTAGCAGAGAGAGCACTGACTCCAGAGTCCAAAAAACAGACTAAGAATCCCAGCTCCATCAATTATTGCTGACTGACTTTGCCCAGTTACTTCACCTGTCTGAGCCTCAGTCTCCTTGTCTGGAAAATGGGGATAATAAGACACTCCTCATATGGTTGCTCAGAAAGCCAAATGAGTTAACTTTGTAGCAGACTGAGAACAGGGCCTGCCTCTCCAGCTGGAGCCTGGCATAAGGAGAGCAGTTGGTAAATGTTAGGCTAGAAGGCCTATTGTTCCTCCATTGCCATGGAACCTTTGCTGCTTCAGCTTCTCTCCCACATAATAGTTTGCTCTGCGTGTTTCCCAGGGCTGTTGGAAGGATCAAATGTGATAGAGGATGGAGGAGACACCTGTCAAATCCTGTCTGAAGGGAGAAAGCTGAAGGAAGTTGTGTTGCCTTTGTGTCTCCATTTGGACCACACTGGGCCCAGGCCAAGGGACTCAATAAACACCTAAAAAGGAGCAAAAGGTCCATAGGCTTGAGAGATGATGATGATGACAACAATGATGGTGGCTATGATGATGACGCTGACGGTGATGGTGATGATGGTGGTGATGATGGTAATAATGATAGTGATGATGGTGGTGATGGTGATGATGATGATGGTGGTGATGGTGGTAAGGGTGGTGATGATAATGGTGATAATGATGATGATGGTGATGATGGGAATGATGGTGATGATGGTGATGATGACAGTGATGATGATGATGGTGATGATGGGGATGATGATGACAGTGATGATGGTGATGATGGTGATGGTGATGATGATGATAGTGATGATGGGGAAGATGATGACAGTGATGGTGGTGATGATGACGATAGCGATGATGGGGATGATGACAGTGATGATTGTGATGATGGTGATGATGATGATGGTGATGATGGGGATGATGATCACAGTGATGATGGTGATGGTGATGATGATGATGGTGATGACGGGGATGATGATGAGAGTGATGATGGTGATGATGGTGATGATGATGGTGATGATGACGGTGATGATTATGGTGATGAAGGCAATGGTGATGATGAGGATGATGGTGATAGTGATGGTAATGATGGTGATGATGACATTAGAAAGAGGGATGCAGTCCAAGCCTTAAGAAGACAACAGGGCATCATAAAAAAAGATCAAAGGATAGTTGTTCAAACACCCAGATATCTTTAAGTCCAGGCTCTGCCTCTAACTAGTCAAGTGACTTTGGGCAAGTTGTGGAATATCTCTGAGTGTCAGTTCTGCCACCTGTAAAACCGAAACAAGAACCCTGCCCTGCATGCTTCACAGGTAGCCTCCATGGGGATCACAAGCATTTTCATACACACAGGCAGCTGTGGTTACTGCTGCTGTATCCGAGAGCAGATCCTAGCCCAGGCAGCTGTTGCTATCAGTCAGACTTAGTTCAAGCTCTGTTATTTCCTTGCTCAGGTGTTGTCAGCCTCAGTTTTCTCATCTACAAATGACTCTAATAATGCTTCTCCACGTAGGGTTGTGGTCTGGCTAAAATGGGTCCATGTAATTACAGGGATCCACCCAGTGCCTGCAAAGAGTGGGGGCTCCATAAATGGTCTTCATTGTGATTGCAAGCCTCTGGTCCACTCCAGCTCTTTCTCTCCTGGCTGCCCACTCAGCTTGGCCCAACCTGGTTGATCACAGTCATCATAGTTCCCTGCAAAAATATTCTGTGGTGCATTCTCAAGGACTAGATGAGGTCACAAAGGGCTGCCCTGTATGGTTGTGTAGGTTGCTTACTGTGCAAGGGCACTCAGCTGAGGAAATAGCTTGTGCCTTTCCTTTCAAAACTGAGAGCTTTCCCTCAAAGCTGAGAGCTTTAAAGACGGCTGCCTCTGCCTGGGAAAGGAACCTTTCTTTTATTTGCATAAAAACAACACATGGGCTGGAAGGCACCTGAATCACCCGTGGTGGGATTAAACCAGCTTGGAAATGTAGACTCGGATGGGTCTCAGAGAGCACCCAACATTCTTGTTGGACAGAGGAAGAAACTGACCACTATTTATTCATTCATCCAACTTTTACTGCCCACTGATTGACAAGTACCACCTCTCCTCTCAAGAGGGCGAGGACCCCATGACAGATTATTACATGCTTTTCAAACCTATTTGGATATTGATTCTGGACATCAAGAGTTTATATAGGAAGCTCTGGCCAGATGCAGTGGCTCACACCTGTAATTTCAACACATTGGGAGGCAGAGGCAGGAAGCTCGCTTGAGCCCAGGAGTTTGAGACCAGCCTGGGCAACATAGCAAGACCCTGTCTCTACAAAAAATTTAAAAATTAGCCGGGTGTGATGGTGCATGCCTGTAATCCTAGGTATTTAGGAGCCTGAGGTGGGAGGATCGCTTGAGCCCAGCAGGTTGAGGCTGTAGTGAGCCATGATCACAACACTGCACTCCAGTGTGAACTACAGAGCAAGACCCTGTCTCCAAAAAAAAAAGAAAAAAAAAAGAGTTTACATAGCAAGTTCAGAGAGTAAAAGATGATGCATTATCCAAATCTATTGGAACCCCAAGTTTCAGATATGAGTAGCAAGAGTTCAGACAGTGAGGGTTGAATCCAAAAGCAAAAGATTTCTGTAAGGCAGCTCCATGGAGCACAGAAGAGAGAGCAACCAAGACTTCCCAGAGGCAGTGATGCTTGATTCCAGAAGGAAAGCTAGGAGCCTGCTGGCAATCCAGAGATGAGCAGCCCCTCAGGCACAGGCTCCAGCATGTGCAAAGACCTAGGGTACAGAGAGCCTGGCAAGCTCAGGGAACTACAAGTCAGTGTCTTTGGCTGGAGCATAAAGGAGGGGAGGAAGAATGCCGGGCAATGAGGGTCAGAGACGTTAAGTGGCCCATTCAAGGGTCACACAGCAAACTTCTGTTTAGTTGGGATTAGAACCCAGGCTCCTGACTGAATTGGGGCTTGCTTGGATCATCGGGCTCAGTGGGTGGGGGGAGGGGCAGCAAGAGGCAGAAATGGTCAGATGCACCGGGGGCAGGGTGTGGCTGGTTCAGCTGTGCTCCTGTTGATCTTTGGCCTGGTGGGGCACCCCTCCTCCCATGTCATTGCCAGTCTGCCTTCAGGGATGTTTGGTGAGGCCTTGAATGCCAGATGAGGTGCCAGCCTGTTCCGGCTATCTGCCCTCTGTACTGACTGGCACCTGACCCAGTGCCCCAGTCCAGCTGAGCTTATGCAGCTGGTGACCCATTGACCTCTGATGAAGTTCAAGGCTGGCACAGATGCCCAGGCCTGCCAAGGCAAGAGACTCAGTTAGAGGCTGTGTAGTCTGGGATGGTGCATTCAGCAGGAAAGAATGAGCCTGTCATGAGCATGTGTTGAACTTGGTCAAGCCACAAACCGTCTCTTTTTTTTTTTTTTTTTGAGACAGAGTCTCACTCTGTCGCCCAGGCTAGAGGGCAGTGGCGCAATCTTGGCTCACTGCAAGCTCCGCCTCCAGGGTTCATGCCATTCTGCTGCCTCAGCCTCCCGAGTAGCTGGGACTACAGGCGCCTGCCATTATGCCCAGCTAATTTTTTCTATTTTTAGTAGAGACAGGGTTTCACCCCGTTAGCCAGGGTGGTCTCGATCTCATGACCTTGCGATCTGCCTGCCTCGGCCTCCCAAAGTGCTGGGATTACAGGCGTGAGCCACCATGCCCAGCCCCATCTCTTTGTCTACAAAACAGGAAGGCTGGGCCACATGACCTCTATGGTATCGCCAACTTCAATCTTCTGGCCAGTGCTTCTCAAACTTTGGCTTGCATCAGAATCACCAGGAGGGCTGGTTAAAACCAGGTGGCCTGGCCTCACTCCCAAAGCTTCAGGTTCACCGGCTTAGAGTGAGGCCTGAGATTCTGCATTTCCAAGTCCCAGATGATGCTGATGCTGCTGGTCCAGGGACCACACTTTGAGAATTACTGCTCTAGCAACCCTGGGTGCACATTAGAATTACTTAGGGGAGCTTTAAACCGTATGGTGATGAAACCCAACTCCAGAGCAATTAAATCAGCATCTCTGAGTGGGGAGCCTGGGTTTTGGTATCTTTTAAAAGCTCCCCTAGGTGATTCTAATGCGCCGCCAGCATTAGGAACTGCTGTTCTAGAAAAGCAGCCTGACGTGTGCTTTTTTTCCTATTGGAATAATTTCTCTTGGACCCCAGCTCAGCCTCTCATTAGCTGCCTGGTTTTGAACAGTCTCCCTGAACCTCAGTTTCCCCTTCTGTAAGTGGGGCTGTTAGGAGGACTAAGTGAAACTCTGCTTCACTGTGTCTGTCCACCCTTCCCTGTGTCCAAGGAGAGCTTGTACGTTTCTTCTGCTCTGAGACTGTTTGGCTGAACACAATTCAATAAGCATTTATTAAAAACTTATAATGTGTGAGATGCTGCCCTTAATGATGTGAGAATAAAAGGATGAATCAGGCTCGGTCCCCACTCAAAAGAGCTCACATGCTAATGGGGGTGACGAGGCATGTGTCCAAAATATGAAGCAGGAAGTAACACCGGCTACGGAGGAAGTAATCATGGTGAAGGCCATTATGTGTGAAGCACTTCGCAGTTTATTTTAATCCTCCCAACAACTCCACGAGGCAGCTACTATTGTAACACCCACTTTTACAGGCCAAGAAACTGAGGCTTAAAGAGAGGACCAGTTACCCACAGCACAAGAGCCAGGCTTTGGTGCTGTGGGAGCCCAGAGGAGGAGATTCACACCATTAGAAAGGCTGGGAGTAAGTTTTGTGGGGAGAAGTGTGGACACAGTGCTTTGAAGAATGTGTAGGAGTTTGATGGGTAAATACAGAGAAAAGGGTATCCCTGATAAGAAACCAGCATACACAAGCTCAGAGGAGGGATAGCTTCTCTTCTTTAGAGACCCGGAAGTGATTTGATTTTGCTGGAATGGAGGTTGAGTGCAGGGCATGGTGGGAATCACGTCCTGGTTGGAGGCCTTGTTCGCTAGGATAAGGAATTTAGATTTTTAGACTTTATATCTTTTTTTTTTTTTTGAGACAGAGTCTTGCTCCGTCGCCCAGGCTAGAGCACAGTGACACGATCTCGGCTCACTGCAACCTCTGCCTCCTGGATACAAGCAATTCTCATGTCCCAGCCTCCCGAGTAGCTGGAATTATAGGCGCACACCACCACGCCTGGGTAGTTTTTATATTTTTAGTATAAAATTATTATATTTTATATTTTTAGTAGTAGGGTTTTGCTATGTTGGCCAGGCTGGTCTCAAACTATTGGCCTCAAGTGATCCTCCCATCTTGGCCTCCCAAAGTGCTGGGATTATAGGCGTGAGCCACCACACCCAGCCCAAGATTTTATATCTTAAGCAATGGGGAGCCCTTGAAAACTCTTGAGCAGGAGGTGGCAGTTTTAGAACAGGGCTAAAATGGTCACAGGTTATATGGGAGAGAGAGGGTGACAGGGAGCCCAGGGACGAAGGGGGCAGCTATGACAAAGGGTCTGATGAGGGATGATAAAGCAAGTGGGTGGGGAGGGGGGAAGGGGAAAATAGGCACATGTGAGAAGTGTGCTGTTGCTACACAAAGCTTCCTTGGGCATCAGTTGATCCCTTATGTGTATTTGCTTATTGACTGAGCCCTACCATACCAGGAGTGGGGGAGGGCAGGAGCAGAAGACAGAGGCTGGGGCAAGTGGACCTCCCAGGGTTCTCACTCCACATGCAGCTCCCCTCGCGACTGGGATATGGTCAGTGGGACATGACCCATTCTGTTGAACAACTCTGCAGAAGCAGGGAGCAATTGGTTCTTGGGCCGTCTGCTACATTTCCGTGATGGAGGTGGCAGAGCTGGCCCAGCGACCTGAGTCTTCCTGACCCCAGCCTTCCAGGTGAAGCGTGCCACCCTGCTCACCTCCCACTGCCAAGTTCACTGCCAGCTCAAGGCTCACAGCCTGTGTGTGTCATGCCCAGCACAAACCCTCCCGGGCTGAAGCCAGTTCCCAGAGGCAAAGTCTGGATGTGGAAAATGCACCAGGCTGCAATCCTGCCACTTGCCACCAGGTGACTTTGGGCACATCCCCTTAGCCCCTCTGTGGCCTAAATTGGGGCATTAAACACAATCAGGTAGTACAGGTACTGCACCCTCCACCCCCACCTGCCCCATCCTCTCTGGTTAACTTTCCTGGAGAATCTCAAGATGTTACAGAGACAAGCAAAGCAAGTCACTTTCCATATTCAAAGTCCCAGGCCATTTTAGTACTTCTGTCATTCTGTGGACCCATCAATATCATACCCATTTTAGAGATGGCACAACCAGGACCCAGAGACTTTTCATGACGGCCCAGGGTCAGATATCTAGGTAGTTACGGAGACAGGACTTGAACGCCAGTCTCTCAGCCAATGGAGCTGACCCCTCAGGTGCCCTCCCAGACCCCTGCGTCCTCTCATGAGGTAGGGAGGCCAGATCTGGGTTGGGGGTGAGGCTGGCAGACATCCCTGAGGTCCAGGGATCTGGAACTGAGGGACACAGACACAGCATCCCATCCCTTTGCTGTATCACACAACGAGAACATTCTCTTTTAAGCCTCCTGATATGTGAAGGAGAAAGTCTCTGTTAGGTGCTAATGGGTATTTAACACCTCTCCAAACCTTGCCAATCTCCCTTTTTCACTGAGGGCACACATCTCAAGCCTTGGCAGGCCACGGTTTCCAGCTGGAATTTAATAACCTTGCTTTGTTTTCACTGTGCTTATTTTAACTCTTACTTTCTATTTATGGCAAGTGATACTGATTTCCCATTTAAGGCAGTGATATAATGATTCTCTAAAAAAACGTGTTTAAGGGGTGGGGAAAGTGGATCTGATATTTTAAAAAATATATTAAGTAATAAGTGGTGTGGAGATATGGCCCAGTGAGAAGGCCCGATGTCTGGCCTAGGTCAAGCCCCTCATTTAAAGGTGGGGAGGGAGAATGCAGGCAGGAGACGCAATGCTCAAGGCACCTGGTGTGTCCCCGTCGGCCGTGGTCTCTGAGACTCGCATGCCTCGAAGACCTCTGGCTACTAAGCCTAGGTGACTCCCCGCCCCTCTGGGCGACACGTGCATGGCCCATGTGCCAGTCCGCAGGGTCCCGTGGGCACCGTGAGCTCGGGAGGGAGGCGGCGGCTGGGACAGGCAGGTTGGACACCTGGGAGGGCACCCGGGGACTTCCGCGAAGGAGGAGGGCGCTGGAACCGTGGCGCGCTCGACCTGGCCGGGCGCAAGCCGCTGGAGACCCCGGCCGAGTGGGCAGGCGGCCGGACCCCATGCGGGTCACCTGCGGCCAGGCCGGGCGTGCGTGTGAGCGCGTGCGCAGACGTCAGCCTCCGAGGCCCGGGCCGCCTTCTGGGCAAGGTGCGCGCGCCCAGCGGCCCCGGCCCCACGCGCCCGGACACGCGGAACCGCAGACCGCGGCGCCCCGGAGGCCGCGAAAGGGATGGGCGGGGCCGGGCCGCGGGACCCGCCTCCCATTGGCCGGGCGCCGGGGCGAGGCGGGGCGCCGGGGTGGGGCGGGGCGAGCGGGCTCTGGGGGGCAGACGCTGGCGCTGGGCGGCGGGAGGCGCGGCTCGCGGGGGGCCGAAGGAGCAGGTGGGCGACGCTCGCAGGGGCGCGGGAGGGTGCCGCTGGGACCGTCATCAGGAGCCTGGGGTTCTGCCACCTTTCGGAGGGATCAGCGACCTCTTCGCCCTGCGGGTGACAGTGGGGCATCTGCCTGCGAGAGGGGGAAGGAGGGAGAACCCAGGGCCACACACAAAGTTCTCCTCATCTGGGGACAGGAGGAGGTGAAGGAGGAGGAGCCGGGTTGATGCTAACTTGGAGCTGCGAAACCTTGGGGCGGCGTTCAAGGCCCCCTCCCACACGCGCGCAGAGCAGAGCGCCCTGCTCCTCCTTCAGCTGCTGGCGTCGCCGCGCGGGGAGAAAGAAGCCGTCCCTCCGGCGCTGGGAGAGCTGCAGAGCCGCGGGCAGAGAAGGAGGCCGCGGCCGAGCCCGGCAGCCCGATACCCCCCATCCGAGCGACCCCCTTTGGGGCAGGCGGAGAAGGTGGCATAGGCGACCAGGAGGGTTCGCCCACCTGGGACACGCACCCACAGTCACCTCCAAAGGACCCCCCCTCCCCAAGTCTCTAGGAGCTGCTCCTTCATCACTGGAGTCGCCCCTACCTCTCTGCCCCCAGCCCGAGAGCCCCAGGCGGGGACCCCCGGATCGGACGTCCCCAAGCCTCCGGGCACCTGGCTCAGCAGGAGGCCCCCGGCTCGGGGCAGGGCAGGGCCGGCGGCGGCGAGCCGGAGCCCGCCCCCTGCCCGGGCCCCGCCGAGCCCTCGGAGCCCACCCATGGGGCACCTGCCCCTTGCGCCTCCTTGCCCGGCCGCGCCCAGCCCGGCGTCCCGAGCAGCGCAGGGGAGGATCCCCGCGCAGTGACCCGGGAGCCACCACAGACTCTGGGAGGCTCGGCGGCTGGAGCAGCAGGCAGCTCCCCGCAGCTCCCGGCGCTTCCAGGCAGCTCTCTGAGCCGTGCCAGAGGCCCGGCCCGCCATTCCCAGGTAGGAGACGCCCCAACAGAGCTGGGCATCTGGGGGAAGTGGAGCAGCCGGGAAGAAAGGGTAGAGGCTTGGAGGAGGAAAGCTCAGTGATTCCTTAGATGACCAGAGAAAGTGAAATTGATTGAGCACCTACTATGTGCCGGGATCGTCTGGCAACTTTGCATACCTAGAGAGAATTAAATTCGTTGAGCACCTACTGTATGTGTCAAACTGAGTGCTATACCCTTGACTTAATCCCAGGAAAGAAAGATTTATTGAGCTTCTACTATGTGCTAGTTTTGGTGCCACAGGCTTTGCATTTAAAGAGCTAGAGTAATAGCCCATTTAAATAGGAGGAAACGGGGGCTCAGGGAAGACGAGTCAACTACCACAAACACTCCTGTCCCTCTTCTGGAGCTGGCTGCAGCCTGCATTACCTGGAGGTGGGGAAGGAAGATTAAGAAGCTCCTTCGTTATCCAGAGTTCTTGAGCTTTTTCTGGGTTGGTGCAGAGTGAGTTTCCTGGATGATTCCCTTCCCAGGAGGGGTTTCCTGTAACTTAGCTGTCTTGGAGGGCCCGGAAGGCAGCTCTGGAGGCCTCTCTGTGCCCTCCCCTCCCCTTGTCCCCAGCACCAGGAGGATGACAGGGGATGTTGTCCAAGACCTCATGGAAGGTGGGAAGCCAGGCTGGGAGGGAGCAGCCAGGTCAGGAGCCAGTGAATCAAGCCTCCTGTGGTGTCAGAGACAAGATGGGGTCCCTGCAAGACCTGCGCCTGCATTCCAGTCCAGCCTCACCAGGCTGCTCTAGGCAGCCCCACGACTGCCAAGATAAAGTGCCACGAAGAAAAGAACCCAGCATGTGTTCAGGTTTGCTGCGGGTCAAGAGCTGGGTCAGCCTCCAGACTTATTGGAAACCCAGGGCCACACAGGGGGTTTATGTCTTACCATTAACAGAGGAATAACCTGAGCCCCAGGAAGCCAAGTCATTTGCCCAGGGCTGCCGGGCTGGTGAGAGGCAGAGTTGGCCTGCCAGAAGTGGATGCCTGCCTACCTTCTACCACCTGAGCTGCCAAGGGTGGTGGGGTTGGCTTTGCCAAGCTCCCGGACTCTCAGAGTGGCAGCTGGAAGCCAGTGATGGCAATGTGCGTGTCCAAAGAGGCTGAGTGTGCACTGATGGAGGAGGCATGGGGGTGTGGAGGAGGGGCAGTGCAGTGAAACAGGCTCTGGGGCATACACCGGGAGGACACGTCCAGACTCTTGTCCTGCTGCCTGTGCCCGTGTGACCCCTTCATCTTTCAGGCAGGCCCTGGGAGAGAGGCTCAAGGGAGAAGTGGTGAATCCACAGGTGCACTTGCTCAGAGGTGGCTGGCAGGGTTAGGGGAGAATCCTGGGAGGTGCCTGCCCCCTTTCCGCTCCGCTGCCTGCAGGGAGAGAGGGAGTGAGAATATAGTATGTCTCGGCGTCATCCCCCCGCCTGATGCCAGCTGAGGCTTCACTGAGACAGACAGTGTTTTGGAAAAGACCAGTTTTGGCTGGGGGTGGGTTTTCATAGAGTTAAGAGCCCAGACTTTGAAGCCAAACAGCCTGGTTCTGATCCCAGCCCAGCTAGTCATCTGCTGTGTGAACTGGGGCAAGTGACTTAACCTCTCTGAGCATCAGTGTCCCCATCAGTCAAGTGGGCTGATGGATGCCTTCCTGGCTGTGGTTACTGTGCCCCCAGGATGGCGTCCCCTCATCTCTGCTCTGGGAACTTTCTGGCTTCCACCTGTCCTCAGAATGGCCCTGTGATGGGGTCAGTAGTCACAGTATGTGCATTCAGATACCTGTGCCGCTAGGGGGTCTCCGTTGAATTTCCTGCCTCTCTGAGCCTCCTCTCTCTGATTCCTTACTTCCCCTCTCTGATTCCCTGCCTCCTCTCTCTGACTTCCTGAAATCCATTCAGTCACTGATATTGGACTCTAAATTCCCAAAGGGCTCTTCAAACTCATCCCTGTCTGCTCCTCGCTGTATGAGGTCAGCCTGGCTGAGGATGGAGAAGGGAGAACAGGCTGCAGAGGAGAGATGTGCCTACGAGGGTGCCCATGGTGCCACCTCTGGGGGAAGAGAGGGAAGAAAGATGTGGAGGCAGGAGGCGGAGCCCACAGAGGCACTGTCCCCTGGCGTCCAGGTGTCCAGATGTCTCACACAGCCCCACGTGGCTCAGGCCATGTGAAGAATCAGTCTTCTCTCAGAGATAAAAACCACAGAGGATTTTTTTTCTCTTTTTCCCCACCCTGATTCCCTGTCTCTTATTTCTGACTCCTTGCCTCCTCTATCTGTCACCTTGCCTCCTCTCTCTGACTCTTTGCCTCCTCTCTGACTCCCTGCCTCCTCTCTCTGTCTCCCTGCCTCCTCTGTCTGACTCCCTGCCTCCCCTCTCTGTCTCACTGCCTCCTCTCTCTGACTCTCTGCCTCCTCTCTCTGACTCCCTGCCTCCTCTCTCTGATTCCCTGCCTCTTTGACCCTCTGCCTCCTCTCTTTGACTCCCTGCCTCCTCTCTCCGATTCTCTGCGTCTTTGACTCCCTGCCTCCTCTCTCTGACTCCCTGAAGCTCATTCAGTCATTGCTATCAACTCGTCTGTACCAAGCTCTAGGCTGGAGGCTGGGCAGGGCAATGATGGAGACAAATACTGTCCCTGGGAGCTTCTGGCCCCTTTCCCATCCTGTTTAGACAGAAGTGACCGCCAGCAGAGTCAAGCTGTCTGCAGAAGGACTTGGGGAGGGGGCTGTCATGGGGTAGGGCTTCTTTCCCCCCATCTCTGCTGAAGGCCCAGGCTGGCTGAGACAGCCCCGGCAGAGACTGAGAAGGGCTCCCTGCTGTGGTCTGGCAGCCCCCTCTCCACCCTCCTCTCTCTCATTTCCTGCCTCCCACACGTATGCCCTGGGCACCTCATCAGGGCTGCCCTAGGGGAGGGCCCTCCTTGGCACAGCCCCTGGGCCAGTCAGGTGGTTGAGGCTGAGGAGAGAAGGTCCCAGAGTGGGGCTTCAGGCAAACCCAAAGACAGAGCCCTTTGCCATTTGATGAATGCACAGACCCTTTATTGAGCCCCTGCTCTGTTCATGGCATGGCAGTTTTGTGGGATAAATTCAAAGACAGCTTTAGGTGGGAGCTGGGTGGGGGATGTGGGGGTCTTAGGCTTGAACTACTACCCAGCCTCCTTTGTTAACCAAGTAGCTAGTCACGTAGCCTTCTGAGCTCGGGGCAGACCACCTGGGATCAAACCTCTCCTCTGCTGGTTACTGGCTGTGCAACTGTAAGCAAGTAATTTAACCTCTCTGTGCCTCAGTTTCCTCATCTGTAAATTGGAGAATAACACCACCTGCTTTCTGGGGTTATGAAGGGAGAAATAGGTTAACATGTGTGCAGCACTTAGAACACTCTGGCATATTTTAGCTGCAAAATGAATGCCAGCTATGATTATTTCTATACTTAGTGCGGGGCTTGGCACACTGCATGGGCTCAAGTGGCAGCAGTTGTCGTCCTTGTGGCTCCAGGCCTGGGGTCCGCCGTGTGCTGAGCTGGCTTATTGTGCACGTCCCTTTGTGATTCATTCATCGAAGTCACATTAGTAGCTTAGAAGTGACCGTAGTGGGAGCATTTACGCCATGGAAATTGGCAATAGGGCTTTTAACAAAGGTATTTTTGAGAGCCGGTTTCCTGCACAGAGGCTGGTAGTTGGGCAGGGTGAGCAGATCCAGATGTGTGCCAGGGACTCGCACGCAGGCAATCTCTCCACCTCCAGTGGCCATCTCAGACCTTAGCTTCATGATAGCCAGGAAGCGATGGTGTTGGAAAGCGCCTTGGGTCAATGGGCGAGGCACTCAAGGAAACCGACTTGGGGCATCCTGGGGTGGGGACCGAGTTTGGGCACATACAGCCCTTTGTGTGAATTTAAAAACAGTGCCTTTTCCTCTACACAAGATGCCCTTTCGTCTGGGATACAGCCCCCACCTCTGGGATGCAGCCCCCACTTGCCCACCCAGCCATGCGCCTTGTGCAGTATCCAACCTGCACAACCTGTGGCAGCCTGTGGAAGACCTAGGGGATTGATATTTCAGCAGGCCTGTGCCCATTTGCAGTTCAGGGGCTGGAAAGCTCTCCTCTGGAGAGGGGAGGGATTCCTGCAAGGGTGAGGAGATCAGAGAGGCCTTCAGAGAGCAGGTGGCACTTGAGCCAGACCCTGAAACATAAGGGGAAGAGGGTGTTCTGCAGAGGGGTGGCATGAGCAAAGGAGTGGAGGCTGATCTCAGCAGAGCTCAAACTGACGAGGGTGACTGGGGTCAGGGGTTCTGGGGCGGGGATTCTGGTGGGCGCTAAGGTAGGAAAGGAGGGAGGGCTGGGCTGTGAAGAGCCTTTGGGGTGAGCCTGGTGGAGCCTGCGGGTTTGCTTATACAAGAGCTTGGATCCATGTCGGCCTCTTTCATGAGGTCAAGAGGCTCCCATAGAAAGCTCTGGGTTTGCCCCAGAACCATAACCCTTGGAGTTGGGAGGGAAGCTTGAGCCAGCCATGGGTCGTTCCCCATTCCACATCCTCTACTCCGGGCCTCTGGGTCTCCTGGAGGCAAGTAAACACCTAGGGCCTGGGAGGCAAAAATATCCGGGCAGGTCATGGAGCGGAGGGAGCCCGCCAGATGCAGAGCACAGGTCTAAAGGTGGGTCCTCCTGAGGTGGCTGCAGGAGCAACCCCAGGCATTGGGCTTGGAGCATGCGGTGTGGACATAGCCTTCCCTTCTTCCCAGGAGGGCTGAATGGCCACAGAACCACCCCCTGCCCCAGGCTTAAGAAATGCATGCTAGTGCCTTCCCCATGTCTTATCCTAGAATCACAGGCTCCGGGAAAGCCAGATGGATGAACCAGGGAAAGAACGGATTCTCACCATAGATACCATTTTTGAGATTTCACCATGTGCTGAGCCCTTTGCAACAACTCTATGAATTGGGCTCATTTTGCAGATGAGAAAAGTGACTTCTAGAGAGGTTAAGCTACTAGCCCAAGATCAGTAGCTAGAGGCAAGGCAAGGATTCAAATCCCAGGAGTCCGGTGCTTGCATAAATGAAAGGATGAATGAACGGATATTGAGTGAGTGAGTGGATGAAGGAAGGAGTAAAGGAGAGGGCATGAATGAATGAGAGGGTAGAACTCCAAGACCCCTTAGAACCTCGTCTGATGTTCCCATTTTACAGACAGAAAACTGAGTCCTAGACAGAGGCCTAGAGGAGGCCAAGAGGTGGTGGGGCCAGGTCGGGGGGGCCCTGATGCCTGCTTCTCTCGCTTTGTTGCAGCCCCGAGCCATGATGAAGACTTTGTCCAGCGGGAACTGCACGCTCAGTGTGCCCGCCAAAAACTCATACCGCATGGTGGTGCTGGGTGCCTCTCGGGTGGGCAAGAGCTCCATCGTGTCTCGCTTCCTCAATGGCCGCTTTGAGGACCAGTACACACCCACCATCGAGGACTTCCACCGTAAGGTATACAACATCCGCGGCGACATGTACCAGCTCGACATCCTGGATACCTCTGGCAACCACCCCTTCCCCGCCATGCGCAGGCTGTCCATCCTCACAGGTGAGGCCCACTGGTGCCTGGGCTGGGGCGGCAGGGCCAGGGCATGGGTGCGGAGTGTGCTGGGCACTTGGCAGTTTGCATAGACTTGCATAGCCATCGTCTGAGACAGGCGTCATCCCTGCACAATGAGGCTCAGAGAGGTTTTGCCATGTGCTGGAAATAGTGATGAAGTCGGGGGCCCCGATTCCATTCTGTTAGACTCCAGATCGATTACTCATGGCTGTCGGGGCCGCCTTCCAGATCAGGAGCTGATACCAGCATGCCCCAGGGATATTCCTTTCTAGGGAACAGAATGATGCCCTGGCTGCTGCTTTCCTTCTCCGGAAGATGACCCACCAGAGCTCCAGGGCCCAAGGTCAGTCCACGGGGCTCAGGTCTCCCACACCCCAGGCCTTTGCCACCTCCTAGAGAGGTAAGGGCAGGACCCAGGCAGTGATCACCAAAGGGAAGGGGGCTTGGTCATGGTCATAGTGATGGTGATGGCACTAGCTGACACTTATCAGAAGCTATGGGCCTGGCCCTGTTCTTAGAGCTTGGCATGTAGTTTTTTTTGAAACAGAGTCTCGCTCTGTCACCCAGGCTGGAGTGCAGTGGCGCGATCTCGGCTCACTGCAACCTCTGCCTCCCGGGTTCAAGCGATTCTCCTGCCTCAGTCCCCCAAGTAGCTGGGACTACAGGCATGTGCCACCATGCCCGGCTAATTTTTTGTATTTTTACTAGAGACGGGATTTCACCATGTTAGCCAGGATGGTCTCGATCTCCTGACCTCGTGATCTGCCTACCTCAGCCTCCCAAAGTGCTGAGATTACAGGCGTCAGCCACCGCGGCCAGCCAGCATGTAGTTATTTAACCCTCATAGTAAATAGTTATTCATTCCCTTTTTACAAGTGGGGAAACTGAAGCCCAGAGAGGTTAAGTAACTCACTCCAGTGGTAGCACAGCTCGTAAAGGCAGTCTGCTTTTGTGCTTTCAGACAAAGCCATACCACAGCCTCTCAGCCCTGCTGGGAAGGGTGAGGAGGGACAGGGAGGTTGGGGGGAAGAAGGGGTGAGTGGAGCTGAGGGGCTGTGCCCTTGTTTACACTGCATTAGCATGGTAGCTAAGAGGACAAGCCCGGGACCCAGCACCTGGGTGTGAGCCCTGGTTCCGCTGCTTCCTGGCTTTGTACCTCGAGGCAAGGGATTTTATCTCCTTGTGTCTCAGCACTCTCATCTGTAAGACTGCACCACATCAACACTCATCCTAAAGGGACTGTGAGACTTAAATGAATGAATATATGTAAGGCGCTTGGTGAGCAGATAGTAAATGCACAATAAATCCCCAAGTCTTCTGTTGAGTCAGCATTTGCAAGTGGGCCTGCTACGGGTTACACGATCATTTCCCAAGTCACGCCCCTGAAGTTGCTGAGCAGGGATAAGGGAAGGAGTGAGCAGGCAACTCTCTAGGCATCATTCAGATAACCCCCCAACTGAGGTACTTCTATACAGAGAAACCCATGCCACTCCCAGCCCTGCTGCCGCCTTGAGGCCAAGACTGAGGCTGCGGGGTGGCCCCTCCTTGAGTGCTTTCTCTTCCAGGCTGGCTTTTCCGAGCATCTGACCCAGACAGCAGTCAAGTTCTCCGCTCCACCCCGAGTTTTGGAGAAGGGGCATGTAGATAGGAGAGCCCTGGGTCGACCTGTGTTCGAATCCTTGCTGGGCCTCTTGGCTTAAATGTGTGACCAGAGGCACATGCATCCTGTCTGAGTCTCAGCCTCCCCAGCCACACAGTGGGCTTAACCTCATACCCCGCAGGGAGGCTGTGAGGACTGCAAGAAGGCTTGTGGCGGGAGCTTCCAGCACGTGACGGGTATTGCATTGGTGTCAGCTCCCCCAGCCTTGGGGAGGGGACTGGGTACCCGCTGCAATGAATAAGGCTAATGACAGAGGGAAGGAGAGGGGAGATGTAGAGAGGAAGCACATGCATATTTTCAGCATTAATTTTCAGTGACACAAGTAATACCCAAACACACCCTCCTGCAAACGCTACAGATAAAGCTAATGCCCCTTTGACCCATGTCCCCAATCCCAGGCTCCTGCCCCTGCCCCGGAGGTGGCCACCCTGGCAGTCTGGCATGGAGCCTTCCGGGCCTCCGTGACTACACCGGCATTCGTATTTGTATCCCCACAATGGAGAGTATTTTTGTCTGTCTCTTTTTTATGGCGCATATCATTCTGAGCACAGCTGTCTGATGCTTGTTTTTTTTTCACACACCAACCCGTGCCTCATTTTCCAACCTGGTGGAACCTCATTTTTTCAACCTCATTTTCCTGCTGCTCAGGAAATTCTGAAAGCCATTAATTCCACTGCCAGCTCTTCTTCCAGCTGCCAGACGGGCCGATCTCTGATGCTTGGCATCGCAGTCTCGCATTTGAATATGTCAAGGCCACGAGTCCTCAGGGGCCCCGGATTAGCCTAACGGGATGGGGTTTGGCAGCCCAAGCAGGAAGAGTTGCCAAGCTGACGCTGCCTCGCAAGTGCCTTTCAGAAGAGCCCACACTGCAGTTCCCTCCATCACCTCCCATCCATTCAGGCTTCCTTGGTTAACACTGACTGTGTGCCAGGCCCTGGGGAGACCAGGACGAGTGGGTGATGGAACCCTTCTCTGTGCCCGAGCTGTTTGGAGCACACCTTTGATCTGGACACCATTCTGAATGTGCCATGTGCCATTAAATGGGGGTAAATGATGTGCTCTGGGGGTGCAGAGGAAGGTGGCAGCCATTCTGCCAGAAGCTGGAACTGGTTGCTTCTCTTCTCAAGAATTTGGGCCAATTGCTGATTCCTCTGGGCCTCAGTTTCCTCATCTGTGAGACAGGGATCTTGTCACACCACAAGGCTATCAAGAGTTTGAGCAAAAGTGGTTGGACGCAGTGGCTCATGCCTGTAATCCCAGCTCTTTGGGAGGCCGAGGTGGGCAGATCTCTTGAGGTCAGGAGTTCAAGACCAGCCTGGCTAACACAGTGAAACACCGTCTCTACTAAAAAATACAAAAAATTAGCCAGGTGTGGTGATGGGCACCTGTAATCCCAGTTACTCGGGAGGCTGAGGCAGGAGAATCTCTTGAACCCAGGAGGTGGAGGTTGCAGTGAGCTGAGATCTTGCCATTGCATTCCAGGCTGGGCAACAAGAGTGAAACTCTGTCTCAGAAAATAAATAAATAAATAAATAAAAAATAGCTAGGCATGGTGACAGGCGCCTGTAATCCCAGCTGCTCCAGAGGCTGAGGCAGGAGAATCGCTTAAACCCAGGAGGTGGAAGTTGCAGTGAGCCAAGATCACACCACTGCACTCCAGCCTGGGCCACAGAGAAAGACTCCATCTCAAAAAAAAAAAAAAAAAAAAAAAAGTTTAAGCAAAAGTGAGGAAGGTGCTTATTAAAAGCTGGAAATCAGGATGGAGGTACCAGTCCAGACAGCCTCCCCACCACCCCACCGTCTCCACAGCAGCCCCTGTTTCAGATTCACAAGCCTGCCTTGAGTGATGCAGTGAGTTATCCTGGAGGCAGTGTGGGCCTTGGAGGCCAGCACTCACTTTTTCATCCTATGATTTATTTGAGAAGCAGAGAGCACCTACCGGGTGCCAGGCACGAGCTAGGTGAGAACAGAATCAGGTAGAAATCTCAGCCTAGCCACACGGAAGCTGTGTGATCTTGGGCAGGCTGCATACCCTTTCTGAGCCTCAGTTTGCTCACCTGTAATGCAAAGGTAACAAAATCTTGACAGAGGCATAGTGAGGAATCAAGAGAACAACGGGCCTGGAGCATACACCCAGTGCTTAGCCCCCAGTAGGCCCTCACTCTCATCATTACTGACACCTGAGGTCACTGAGCATGTGCCACTGTCCATTCATTATCTTGCATAACTCCCAAAATCATCCTGCAAGGTAATATTTCATCTTCATGAAACAGACAGAGAAACTGAGGTTACAGAGGTTTCGTGATCTGCCCAAGTCTGCTGGCAGCTAAGCGGATGAGGCCAGATGCAAACTAGGCATTGAGCAAGACAGGCAGGACCCCTGCTCTCATAGAAATGATTTTTATTATTATCTGAACACAGTCCACACAAGTGACCTACCCCTCTCCAGCCCTGCAAAGAAATGTGAAGTGAGTTAACTGTATTTGAACCAAGTGGTCCACGTGTTAGCTATGCGACTGTGAACAGGGGCTTCAACCCCCTCAGCCTCAGTTTCCTGTCCTGGAAAATAATCGCAGGGAGAATAATCGCAGCTACCCCGAAGAGTCGCTGTGTAGGTTAAAGCAGTTATGCCGCATAACTGCTTCAGGGCACCTGTGACTCCCAGCTCTTAGGGCTGATGTTCTGTGGCCAGAGGAGGGCAGGGGTTGCAGCTGGCCGGTGAACTCACTACCTGGGCTCTCTCCCTGCAGGGGATGTCTTCATCCTGGTGTTCAGCCTGGATAACCGGGAGTCCTTCGATGAGGTCAAGCGCCTTCAGAAGCAGATCCTGGAGGTCAAGTCCTGCCTGAAGAACAAGACCAAGGAGGCGGCGGAGCTGCCCATGGTCATCTGTGGCAACAAGAACGACCACGGCGAGCTGTGCCGCCAGGTGCCCACCACCGAGGCCGAGCTGCTGGTGTCGGGCGACGAGAACTGCGCCTACTTCGAGGTGTCGGCCAAGAAGAACACCAACGTGGACGAGATGTTCTACGTGCTCTTCAGCATGGCCAAGCTGCCACACGAGATGAGCCCCGCCCTGCATCGCAAGATCTCCGTGCAGTACGGTGACGCCTTCCACCCCAGGCCCTTCTGCATGCGCCGCGTCAAGGAGATGGACGCCTATGGCATGGTCTCGCCCTTCGCCCGCCGCCCCAGCGTCAACAGTGACCTCAAGTACATCAAGGCCAAGGTCCTTCGGGAAGGCCAGGCCCGTGAGAGGGACAAGTGCACCATCCAGTGAGCGAGGGATGCTGGGGCGGGGCTTGGCCAGTGCCTTCAGGGAGGTGGCCCCAGATGCCCACTGTGCGCATCTCCCCACCGAGGCCCCGGCAGCAGTCTTGTTCACAGACCTTAGGCACCAGACTGGAGGCCCCCGGGCGCTGGCCTCCGCACATTCGTCTGCCTTCTCACAGCTTTCCTGAGTCCGCTTGTCCACAGCTCCTTGGTGGTTTCATCTCCTCTGTGGGAGGACACATCTCTGCAGCCTCAAGAGTTAGGCAGAGACTCAAGTTACACCTTCCTCTCCTGGGGTTGGAAGAAATGTTGATGCCAGAGGGGTGAGGATTGCTGCGTCATATGGAGCCTCCTGGGACAAGCCTCAGGATGAAAAGGACACAGAAGGCCAGATGAGAAAGGTCTCCTCTCTCCTGGCATAACACCCAGCTTGGTTTGGGTGGCAGCTGGGAGAACTTCTCTCCCAGCCCTGCAACTCTTACGCTCTGGTTCAGCTGCCTCTGCACCCCCTCCCACCCCCAGCACACACACAAGTTGGCCCCCAGCTGCGCCTGACATTGAGCCAGTGGACTCTGTGTCTGAAGGGGGCGTGGCCACACCTCCTAGACCACGCCCACCACTTAGACCACGCCCACCTCCTGACCGCGTTCCTCAGCCTCCTCTCCTAGGTCCCTCCGCCCGACAGTTGTGCTTTGTTGTGGTTGCAGCTGTTTTCGTGTCATGTATAGTAGTAGAAATGGAAATCATTGTACTGTAAAAGCCTAGTGACTCCCTCCTTGGCCAGGCCCTCACCCAGTTCAGATCCACGGCCTCCACCCGGGACGCCTTCCTCCTCTGCTCCCAAACAGGGTTTCCGTGGCCTGTTTGCAGCTAGACATTGACCTCCGCCATTGAGCTCCACGGTTTACAGACAATTGCACAAGCGTGGGGTGGGCAGGCCAGGACTGCTTTTTTTTAATGCTCCCATTTCACAGAGGATACCACCGAGACTCGGAGGGGACACGATGAGCACCAGGCCCCACCTTTGTCCCCTAGCAAATTCAGGGTACAGCTCCACCTAGAACCAGGCTGCCCTCTACTGTGCTCGTTCCTCAAGCATTTATTAAGCACCTACTGGGTGCTGGGTTCACTGTGTCCTAGGAAACCAAGAGGGTCCCCAGTCCTGGCCTCTGCCCGCCCCTGCTGCCCCACCACCTTCTGCACACACAGCGGTGGGGAGGCGGGGAGGAGCAGCTGGGACCCAGAACTGAGCCTGGGAGGGATCCGACAGAAAAGCTCAGGGCGGGTCTTCTCCTTGTGCCCGGGATTGGGCTATGCTGGGTACCACCATGTACTCAGGCATGGTGGGTTTTGAACCCATAAACCAAAGGCCCTTGTCATCAGCTCTTAACAAGTATATTTTGTATTTTAATCTCTCTAAACATATTGAAGTTTTAGGGCCCTAAGGAACCTTAGTGATCTTCTATTGGGTCTTTCTGAGGTTCAGAGAGGGTAAGTAACTTCCTCCAGGTCACACAGCAAGTCTGTGGGTGGCAGAAGCAAGCTAGCGCTGGGCATTCAGTACATACCACGATGTGCTCCCTCTCTTGATGCTTGGCCCCTGGGGCCTTCAGGGCTTTGGGACATCTTGTCCTCAACCCTCTCCCTAGATCAGTCTGTGAGGGTCCCTGTAGATATTGTGTACACCATGCCCATGTATATACAAGTACACACAGATGTACACACAGATGTACACATGCTCCAGCCCCAGCTCTGCATACCTGCACCTGCACCCCAGCCTTGGCCCCTGCCTGCGTCTGTGCTCAAAGCAGCAGCTCCAACCCTGCCTCTGTCCCCTTCCCCACCCACTGCCTGAGCCTTCTGAGCAGACCAGGTACCTTGGCTGCACCGGTGTGTGGCCCGCTCTCACCCAGGCACAGCCCCGCCACCATGGATCTCCGTGTACACTATCAATAAAAGTGGGTTTGTTACAAAGCCGTGTCCTTGCCCATGTGTATTTTTTGTATTTCCAAGAGGAGGTGTGCCCCTTTCCAGACCAAAGCTGGCCTTTCCCTCCCAAAATGCACCTGCCGTGTGCCCTGGCCCTGAGGGTCAGCACTGAGTCCACCTTCAAGTGTAAGTGTGGGGAGAGGGGGATAAGTCCCCCAGATGGAAGGTGATGCCCTCCTTCAGCCTGGCCCTCCTGGGTCCTCCGGGTGTGTGTACCGAGGTGTCTGTGTCCACAAAGAAGGGGCCCCCGTGGACCATTAGCTCCAGGAGGATCTCCGTGTCTGAGTTCTTTGTGATTCCTGTACAGCAGCAATTTCACCCGCAGGGGACAGTTGGCAATCTCTGGAAACCTTTTCCAAGCCTGGGGCTGGGGCTGCTACTCTCATCTGGTGGGTGGAGGCCAGGGACACCATTCAGTATCCTCCAACGCACAGGATGCCCCTCCACCCCCACCCCACTGAGAATTATCTGGCCTCAAATGCCAAGCGTGGGCAGCCTTACTTAGACTCACCCCAGGGGCTGGGACACGCCCCCACCTGCGTGTGATGGATTTGTTGGACCACATTCTGGACGGAACCCACAGCATGAGCACTCCTGTGAAGTGAGACAGGATGTGGGTGAGGATGGAAAGTGGAGGCTGAGGGAGAAGGTCTGGGCCCTGACCAACACGGAATGTGCCCCCTGGGACTGAGAGGCTTCCCTGGGCAGAGGGAAAGGAGGAAGTCAGTGAGGTAAAATACTCCCTGTGTGTTTTACCCAGCGAGTCTCACGCCATCCTATCACCCAGCCCCGAGGGAAGCCCACTCATGTTCACCCCATCTGAGCATTTAGGCTCAGAGAGCTCAATATCTTGTCCAAGATGGCACAGCTGGTGAAGTGGCAGATCAGAGATTCAACACCAGAGGCTGTCTGATTTCCGTCTGGCTGAAGAAAGATTTTGCATCAGGGAGGTGGAAACCATCTGTGCTTTTGATCAGCAAATGCCACCAGCAGGATCAGGGAGCTAGGCCATAAAGGAGGTCGAGAGACAGGCAGTGTAAGGTTCATTGGGAACCACATTGTCCATTGGGAAGCCACAACCTCTGCACAGACATTCACAAAACAGAGCCAGGCTGTGGTGGAGGCGAGACCACACAAGTCCATAGTGTGGGGAGCTGGAGAACTCCCAGCCTCTACCTACCTGGGGGCCCCGCTCCCAGCCTGTGCATATCTGGGGGCCCGCTCCCAGCCTCTGCATATCTGGGGGCCCTGCTTTCAGCCTCTGCCTACCTGGGGGACCCTGCTTCTAGTCCCTGCCTACCTGGGGGCTCGGCTCCTAACCTCTGCCTACCTGGGGCCTGTCTCCCAGCTTCTGATAATCTAGCAGCCCAGCTCCCCTCCAATCCTTTGCCCACCCCAGCCACAGAAGGTCAGTGTGGGAGGCATGTCCCTCGGACACTTTCTAGATCCTGGTTTTCATACACACAAAGCATGGAGGCGAACACTCCCTTCTGCATCGCCATCAGCGCTGAACCATAACAAGGGCGCTGGTGCACAGAGACAGGCCTCCACGGTGTCCCGCTGGAGCCCAGCCTGCTGCTGCCACTCCCTTTCTCTATGTGGGTCTGGAAATAAGTCTCGTCCCCTCGCAGGCCTCCTTTTCTTCATGAGTAAATGGGAGGCGGGAGGAAGGCATCCGGACCAGATACACACCAACAGCCTCTCGCAGCCCTGATGGTCTCTACTAGAAGGAATTAATATTCCTATTGCATAACTCACAACATTCCAATCATCACCAAACAGAACACGCTCGCCCCAGCCCCAGCTCTAGCCCCACTCTTTGTTCCCTGCATCCCACAGTCCTTGCCCTGGAATGGGGTTGACAGCAACAGGCTGCCACAGAGGAGAAAGACACATGTCTTCTTAGCCCTGGGACAGTGGGTAGGATAAGATTGTAGGAAAATTCCCTTCATGGTGAGACCATTTAGAGCCAAGCCCAGGATAGCCGGCTAATCCCCCGACCCTAGGAAGGGAGCATTGGGAACATGATTTCAAAGAATTCTGCGCTGTGAACTCTAAGTACTTGTTCTGTTCCACCTCCCTGAACCTGTCACTTACTCGAAAGAAAAACTTCAGTCTGCATCACGGTTTGGTGGGGGCTGATGGGAGGCCTGCCAGGGGCTCGGCAGTGAAGGCTGCCGGGAATGGGGGAAGGGAAAAGGAGCTGACCTTTGCGAAGACCTTACTCTGTGCCAAGCACTGTGCTGAGCCTTTTACCTGCGTCCTGTCATTGAATCCTCATGGCAGAGCTAGCTGGAATCCTTTTTTGGATAAGAGAGAATGGAGTTCAGAGAGGTAAAGTCACTTGTCCAAAGTTGCACAGCCAGGAAGGAGCAGAGCTGGATGAGAAACCATGTCTGATTCCAAAGCACATTTTTGTCTCCAGGGCTTTTATAACTGAGCCAGCTGAGAGGTTGCTCTCTAGTGGGAGAGTCCAGTGAGTTGGGGTGCAGTGTCTGGACGTGGTTCAGGGAACTCAGAAAATGGGGTGCTCTTCCGTTCACAATAAAAGGCTGAGCTGCTGTCACAAGAGAGGAACCCAACTTCTTTTTCATGGCAAAGTCACTCTGCTCCACCTGGTCACTCAGGCACCCAGGTTTCTTCCGTCTTCAGGTTCTTCCATCTCTAGGACCTTGTCACCATCTGCACGGTTGAAGCCACTGTAACATTCAGGTTCAGCCGAAGGGATAGGGGAAGAGAGTGTGGAAGAGGTACACCTGCTGTTTTCAGAGCCATGGACTCATCACTTCCACTTTCTAGCAATGGCAAGAGCCCAGCCATGTGACTGTACCTACCTATGAGAAGGCCTGAGAGATGCAGTCCTTTGCTAGGTGGCCCCATGCCCAGCGGTGACTCCACTGTGGAAAGGAGGAGGAGAGATCTGGTTGGCCAGCCTGTTGTCTCCAAACAGCCACCCTAATGCAGTGGGCCAGCCTCGGGACACCACGGGCAGTCTGACTTCAAACAAGCTCCACTTAGCAGATGAAATCAGAAAGCAGCTCTAGGCTCCCAAGGCTGCTTTAAATTGGCTCTGAGCAGGCCGGGTGAGGTGGCTCACGCCTGTAATCCCAGCACTTTGGGAGGCTGAGGCGGGCGGATCACCTGAGGTCGGGAGTTCGAGCCCAGCCCGACCAACATGGAGAAACCTCGTCTCTACTAAAAATACAAAATTAACCAACCATGGTGGCGCATGCCTGTAATCCCAACTACTCGGGAGGCTGAGGCAGGAGAATAGCTTGAACCCGGGAGACGGAGGTTGCAGTGAGCCGAGATCACACCATTGCACTCCAGCCTGGGCAACAACAGCGAAACTCTGTCTCAAAAATAAATAAATAAATAAATAAAAATAATTGGCTCTGAGAACTTATTCACATCCAACCCCCATCCCCAGATGAAAACTTAGACTATCCCATGATTTTTCTCATCTCTCTTGGAAAACAGAATATACCACAGACATTTTAAGTAGTAAGTAGAGTCTCAACTAAAATTCCTTGGCCAGTGTGATCATCAGTTTCCAGTCTTCATTCAAAAGAGTTTCCCTCCCTCGCCCAGCGGTGGTCTATTGCACATAAAAAGCTGGAGACTTGGGAAGAGAAGGGTGGATACTTCACTTTTCTCACTTGCCTTCTCTCTCTTTAGCTACTTCTGGTTCCTCTCTTCTCCATTCTTGGGAGGTGGGTTTGGGGGTGGAGGGAGAAGAGGCTGAGAAGGGGGTGGAGGGAGAAGAGCAGGGAGTTCTTCCTTGCCTAGTTACTACGGCACTTTGGGAAGATGGTGTCACGTTCCAAGCATGGCCAATGTTTAATGATACCATTAAAATCTCAGGGGTTATTTTGGAGATTGTTCCCTGCCATCACTAGGAACCTGTTATCTGCAGAGGCTTCTATGCATCTCTATCTTCCGGGTGTACCTCTTCCACACTCTCTTCCCCTATCCCTTCGGCTGAACCTGAATGTGGCAGTGGCTTCAACTAGGCAGATGGTGACAAGGTCCTAGAGATGAAGGAACCGGAAGACAGAAGAAACCTGGGTTGGTTGCTTAGTCCCTCCGCAGCCCCAAGGAATCTTCTGACGCCTTTTGATTCTCTGTGCAGAGGCTTTTTGCCCCTTTGGGGTGTTCTATCGGACAGGGCCTGAGGCACCCCCATGCCAGCTTCCTCTTGTGGTCAGCCCACATCTGGCGCATATGAAACTCACACCCTCTACCCCAATCAACTCTAAGAGTGTAAGTTGCTCTGAGTTTACTGGGATCTTTAGCATCTAACCCAGCCAGTCTGTCACATGTGAGATTTATCAGGCAGAGGACAGTGGCCCACAGAGCCACTCTGCCCAGGGACACATGTCCAGCTCTCTAGGCTTGAGCTAAGGGCAGTCCCTGTCACAGCATACTGTAGTGCTCAACAGTGATTCTCTTTCCCAGGAAATCTTCTTCCTGCTGACTATTGTATATCTTGAGAAGTACAAGAGTCAAGGAGCTGGTTCTTGGCCAAATGCTTTGAAAATTTTGCTCTTGGTTTGATACCTTACTTTGGAATCTGAGGTCAGCCTTCTTAAAGTGTCAGCCAAAATGAAGAAGCCAGGGTCATCCACCAGATAAAGGGGTCTGGGGAATGGCACTCACAGAGGGACCCCTACCTCATCTAGGAAGAGGAACCCTGAGCAGGAAAGTGAGTTAGAGAGTTCAGGATTGAACCAACCCAGGTATCCTGGGTGCACACCTTAATGCGCCCCTCAGTAAGAGAGGCAGAGCATTTGGCTTGTTCATAACGTAGTCTCTGGTCTGAGGCTGCCTGAGTTCAAATCTCACGTCTGCCATTTGCTCATCTGCTAAAAGGCAAATGACTTTTTGTATTGGTCAGCTATTGCTGCAATAGTGCTGTGTAACAAACCACCCCAAAATTCAGTAGTTCTCAACAACAAGCATTTCTTCTTAGGTTTACAGGTCCCTAGGTCAATTGCAGTTTGAGTGGACTGGGCTGAATATCACCTCAATACTGATCTTGTCTTTATTTAAATTTTTGACATTTTGTTCCTTATGGATTTTTTGCATTAATTTTTATTTTAAAAATATTACATAAGTCTGTGAACCGTGGCTCCCACCTGTAAACCCAGCACTTTGGGAGGCCAAGGCAGGAGGATGGCTTGAGGCCAGGGGTTCAAGACCAGCCTAGGCAACATGGAGAAACCCCATCTCTGCAAAAATCACAAAAATTTAGCCAAGTGTGGTGGCACATGCCTGTGGTCCCAGCTACTTGGGAGGCTGAGATGGGGGAATCACTTGAACTCAGGAGGTTGAGGCTGCAGTGAGCTATGGTCATGCCACTGCACTCCAGCCTGGGCAACAGAGTGAGACCCTGTCTCAAAAAATTGTATCTATCTATCTATCTATCTATCTATCTATCTATATTAATGATAGCACTAAATATCATTAATTTATAATGATAATATATAAATAATAATAATAATTACAATAATATATAAATAGAATTATAATTATAATATAAATTAATATAAATATAATACAATATATAATAAAAATTATAATTATATATAAATATTAACAGTAGCATTATATATATATATATAAAAAACATGAAAATATTATTCACCTTGATTCCTGGGGGTTTTTGTGGGTGAGGGGGCATCTGAAGTATTGTGCTTAAGGTAATTGCCTCCCTTGCCTCACCCTAGTTCTGGCTGTGGCTCCTCCGTATCTTCTCCATGACTCAGCGTCCTCATTTGTAAAATAGGAATAATCACACCACCTCACTGGATGGTTATGAGAACTAAATGACTTATTACTTGTGAAACATTTAGAATGGTGCCTGGCACATCATAAGCACCAGCCATAATGATTTCTGTGTCACTGAGGCTCCTTGCAGGTGCACCTGGGGGTGAGCAGCATTCCCACTGGGGCCCCCACCCTGGTCAGCATGGACTCTTCCATTTCTTCATCCTGGACTCTCAGTGAGGACCACACAAGGTGGACACCAAAGCACTTGGCGATTTGTCACATGGGGTACAGACGTCGGTCATCAGGATCATTTGACACATGTTCAATATCGGGTTTTAAGACACAGCCCCTACATTCTTTGGCGTGCCTCCCATCAAGAGGTGGAGTCTATGCCCCTCCCCTTGATCAGGGCAAGATGCTGATTGCTTTGACCAATGGTGTGCACTGGAGTAATGCTCTGTGACTTCTAGGGCCAGGTCAGAAAAGGTCACACAGCTCTGCCTGGTTTTCTTAGGGTGTTCTGTCACTGTCAGGATGCTCCTGCTAAGAACCCAGCTGCTGTGCTGTGAGAAGCCCATTTCATGAGGAGAGGCCATGTGGGGGTGCTCAGGACACAGTCCCAGCTGCATCCAGCCCGAAGGCCAGGCACGGTGGTGCAGGAGCCTCCAGCCCCAGCCATGGGCATCCTCTAGACAGAGCAGAGCAGAGATTAGCCATTCCTGATGTGCGTGGGCCAAATCCCTGACCACAGAATCTGACAGCAGGATAAAGTGGTTGTTTTATGCTACTAAATTTGGGGTGGTTAAGCAGCAACATAATCAGAACATTCACCAAAGCCTTCTTCATTGTCAGAGTCTCAGGACACAGAAATGATTCAGACAGTCTCTGCTCCACGAAGAACCAAAAGCAGCCCCTGAACTGTCCATTGCAATATAATCTGTCTGTGCTATAATAGGTGCTGTGAAAGCTCGAGGAGGAGCCTCTAACCGAGCCAGGGTGAGGTTCTGGACTGACCTCCCTGGGTGGGGAGATGATGCTGGAGTTGAATATAACAGATAAATAAAGGCTAACCAGAAGAATGAGGGAGGATGTTTCTGAATGGAGTGGGCAAGGGACTAGAGGCAAGACAGTGCCTACTGGAAGTTCAATGTAGCTGGAGCACAGAGGGCAAATGCCTACTGGTCCTGGAAATACTGGAGATATCCAGCTGCCACAGGACTTTTGCACATGCTGTTCTCTGCCTGGACAGTGCTTCCTTTTGGGACCATGCTGGCTTACTTGCTCACTTCATTCCTATCTCAGCTCAATGTCACCTACTCAGAGAAGCATCCCCTGACCTCTCAACCTAAAATTACTCCCTAATCCATCCCTCTCCCCCCTTCTCCCTGCCTTCTCTTTCCTCAAAGTATTGATCATCATTTGACGGTTTTGGTTTTGTTTTTTTTTTTTTCGCTCTTGTGGTCCAAGCTGGAGTACAACAGCACAACATTAGCTCACTGCAACCTCCATCTCCCGGGTTCAAGTGATTCTCCAGCCTCGCTTCCCGAGTAGCTGGGATTACAGGCGTGTGCCTCCATGTCCAGCTAATTCTTTTATTTTTAATAGAGACGGAGTCTCACTATGTTGGCCAGGCTGGTCTCGAACTCCTGACCTCAGGTGATCCACCCGCCTTGGCCTCTCAAAGTGTTGGGATTACAGGCGTGAGCCATTGTGCCTGGCTCATCACTTGACTTCTTATAATGTGTTTATGATATGTTTCTTCTGCTAAAATGTGAATGACAGGAGACTAAGACACACTTCTCCCAGCATAGCGTAGTGCCTGGCAGACAGTAGGTCTTAGATAAATATATCAGGAGTTGGATGGATGAATGAAGGGAGAGGCATATCAGATACACCTTTTGGAAGCCCCCTCTGGCTGCAGTGAGTGGGTTGGAAGGGTGTTTGAAAGGAGGCCGGGAGAGGGGGTTTCAGTTATCCAGGTGGGAGCCGATGGCATGAGTCTCTCTGGAGAGCCAACATGAGGATGATGAGGGGTCGGGTTTGAGGTGGGAGACAGAAGAGCTGGAATCTCCCAGGTGGAGGGCGTCGCATTGGGTGGGGAGGCAAAGGTGGGGCTCGGGATTGCCATGTGCGAAGCCGGTGGATGGTGATGCCGCCCACTCAACTGGGGCTCCAAGAGGAGAGAGTGCACATCGGAAGGCCTCCTGCGGTGAGCATCAAGGAGATGAGTCACATCTGTGTTATGTGGCATTTGAGGCTCCCAGGGGCCCTTCAAGTGCAATTGCCTGACAGGAGCCTGGCTGTAAGGGTCTGAAGCTGAGGAGAGAAGGCTGACCAGAGTGAAAATCTGGGGTTCCATCAGCCATGGAGAGGGTGGCCACTAGGCCATACAGCGAGAGGAGGACCAGGAGGAACGCCGTGACTTAGGGAAAGGCAGAGGGGGGAGGGATGGAGGAAGAAAGGAGAGACGGACAGAAGACAAGTTGGTGGGGTCATGGAAGCCGAGGGTAGGGGAAGGTTTGAGAAGAAATAAATGGTCTCCGATATCAAAAGCTGCCAAGAAGCAGGTTGAAGGGTGTCGACTAGGCCCGTGACGGGAAGGTCACTGGAGGCTTGGAGCCCAGGCTGTGGAGACAGGCTATGTTGCATGGGAAGAGGAGGGGGTGGTGAACAAATTCCAAGAGCATTCTTTTCTTTCTTTAAAAAAAAATTTCAGGCCGGGCATGGTCGCTCACACCTGTAATCCCAGCACTTTGGGAGGCTGAGGCAGGTGAATCACCTGAGGTCAGGAGTTCGAGACCAGCCTGACCAACCTGGAGAAACCCTGTCTCTACGAAATATACAAAATTAGCCAGGCGTGGTGGTCCATGCCTATAATCCCAGCTACTCAGGAGGCTGAGGCAGAGGAATCTCTTGAACCCGGGAGGCGGAGGTTGTGGTGAGCCAAGATCGCACCATTGCACTCCAGCCTGGGCAACGAGAGCAAAACTCTGTCTCAAAAACAAACAAACAAACAAACAAACAAACAAATTTCAATAAGGGCCAGATGCAGTGGCACACACCTGTAATCCCAGCACTTTGGGAGGCCGAGGCGGGTGGAACACTTGAGGCCAGGAGTTCGAGACCAGCCTGGCCAACATGGTGAAACCCCATTTCCACTAAAAATACAAAAATTAGCCAGATGTGGTGGCACACACCTATAATCCCAGCTACTTGGGAGTCTGAGGCATGAGAATCGCTTGAACCCAGGAGGCAGAGGTTGCAGTGAGCCCAGATCAAGGCACTGCACTCCAGCCTGGATGACAGAGCAAGACTCTGTCTCAAAAAACAAAAACAAACAAACAAAAAAACCCAGGAAATTTCAATAAGCATAATTGTAAAACTGAAAGAGGAACATGAGGCAAAATAGAAGGGAATGAGGTGTTCTAGAAGGGTGGCTGTTAGTATTATCATCATTCTTTAAGAGGGAGAGACTTCAACTCACTGAAATGCTGATGAGAAAGATCCGGAAGAGAAGGAGGAGGATGCTTTGGGGAGAAGGAAGGGGTGATTGCTGGAGAGGGGACTCTGGAGACAGAGGAAGTGCTGGGACCCAGGCGCAGGCAGACGGGTGTGACCATCAGGAGAGATGATGATCTGCAAGGAGAAGGCTGGGAGAGGAGACTGCAGTGGACTGAGCTGAGCCTGGGCTGCGGGGAAGCCTTTGTCCTGCCGTCCTAGGCTCTTGGCTTCCCGGTGTGTTGCCTGTTGGAGACAGAGCTTGGGCCCCAAGAGAGGACGTTCTCAGCTCTCTAGTGTTTTTATGAGAAATTAAACTTGAATTCGAAAAGCCCAAATCAATTTTATCTCAAATGAGAGGAAGTGAACAGAGACAAAGGCTTTGGTCCAGAAAGGCGGGGAGTGGAATTCATAGGACATTTAATATTCACTCCACAAACACAGAGCTCTCTCTGGGCCCTGGCGGCTCTGGGTGCTGGAGGCAGATGAATAAATTTCTCAAGGAATCTGGGGGGCAGGAGGGAAACAGACAGACATTGCAATTAAGGAATGTAATTGCTAACATGAATAGGAAAGTTTCTCAGAGGAGGTAACAATTCTAGCTGCCTCTAAAGGATTTATAGAGTTTTACCAGGAAACACTCCTAGAAGTGAAGAATCATATTATTCTACTTAATATAAGTGTAATTTTACTTAATATAAAAGCCCTTAGCTCGGTACCAACATACCATCAGCTTTCAATATCATTGAGCTATTAAAATATTATTATTATTTATTATTATTATTTTCAAGACAGGGTCTTGCTCTGTCGCCCAGGCTGGAGTGCAGTGGCACAATCATGGCTCACTGCAGTCTCGACCTCCTGCGCCCAGATGATCCCCTCCCACCCCGCCTCAGCCCCCCATGTAGCTGGGATTATAGGCATGCGCTACCACGCCTGGTTAATTTTTGTTTTATTTGTAGAGATGCAGTTTTGCCGTGTAGCCCAGGCTGGTCTCAAACTTCTGGGTGCAAGTGATCCACCCACCTCAGCCTCCCAAAGTGTTGGGATTACAGGCGTGAGCCACCGCACCTGTATCCCAATTTTTTTCTGATACTTACAATTACTGTGAGCCCTTGACATTCACATGAAATAAGACAAGATCTCTAAGAATCTCACGCTGGGAAATACTGTCTTCTGCATAAACTATCCCTCTTTAAAAGGAGCAAAGCGCAACTGAAATGTTAAGCTACTATCTTGGACATTTAATGACTATAAGAACAGAACCAAAGCCATTTCCACAGTTATTAACACATTGGAGGCCTGAAGCCTCCAATCTCACTTGAGCTGTTCTTTGCTGGCTCCAGAGGCTCTTGAGCTGCGTGGGGAATCACTTTTCCTGGTTTCCACTGAGAGCAGCATATGGTGGGCTCACTTGGACCAAAGATTCAAGCCAGGGCCAAGTTCAACTCTCCACTCTTTAATCCACTCCTTGCTCCTACTTTTCAGACTAAAAGCCAACACATTCCCAGATACCTTCATCTTTCTCTCCATTATTAGCACTAGCAATTGGAGTTCTTCTGAGGTCATTTTCCAGAAAGAAGCTGTGTTTATTGCCAGGTCATCAGCTGGCCTCACTCACTAGCTCAGTTCCACGCTGACATTTTTGCCCCAGCAAAATTACAAATTAGTACCAGCCACGGACCTTTGGATTATTTGAAACGACCCAAAACTGCATGTTAAATTCTTGAATGTCAAGGATTTCCTGGGCTTTCCAGTCTCTACCACTCCTGAACTCAAGCTTTAAGTCACCTAATGTCCCATTACCACTTAACACACATGCACACATCATGTGCACAAAGCCACGTGCATGCATGCTCACACAGACACATGCATTGGTACATGTGTATATAAAAATGCACATGAACACACAGGCATGTGCCATGCACATGTACACATGTACATATATGCACCCCCATACATGCTCAATGCATGAACACATTCATGCATAGTATGCACGCACATATCTACCCTCTGTCATCACACATGCTTACACGCATATAATGCATACACACAAATGCACAACACCATACACACAGACGTACACATGCATTTACAGCCATGCACACACACGGACATACAAATGCTTGCACACACATGTGTATAAGCACACACAACATGCATGCATACAGAGGCACAGCAGGCACAGGCTTGCCCACACACTCTGCCAAGAACAAGTCAGGAGGAGGAGGAAGGTAGACACATCATTCTTCTCCCTCTAGTTCAAATGACTTCTCTTCCTTGGCACAAACTTTTGTTTTGATATCTTTTGTTATTTTTTTAGATCGCAAAGACATGGGATGGAAACCAAATCCCTGGGGTTTCCAGATGGAAGATGTGGTTTCTAACAACGCATCTACTTAGGCAAACTGGAATAGCAAAAGAATCTGGAGGCCTCTTGGAGTGTTTGTGATATCTGCAGCACCCCTCCAACTTCTCCTCCCCCTCTCACCCGCCTACCCCACCACAGGGAGGCAATGCAGGGCTGGACGCCCTGCTCTTGCTGCTAACTGCAGCTCTGCCATCTTTTCACTGTGTGAACTCAATCAATCCCCTCCCCATCTCTGGTCCTTCCAGATTTGATGGGGAGTGGATAGACCGAGGTTCAGTTATCCCCATACACAGATGAAGAAATCGTGGCTGCAATAGGTGAAGAGGGCCTCCTGAAGGTCATACAACCAGAACCCACATGTTGCAGCTTCCTCCCAGTGCCCATCGCTACGGGGCTTCTCGTGCTTGAATGTGCATATGAATCTCCCTGGGGTCTTGTTAAAGTGCAGACTCTGATTCAATAGGTCTGAGGTGGACTTAAGCTTCTTTCTAACAAGCTTCAGTTTTAAGATTCTTTCTGGCTGGGTGCGGTGGGCCCATGCCTGGAATCCCAGCACTCTGGGAGGCGGAGGCGGGCGGATCACCTGAGGTCAGGAGTTTGAGACCAGCTTAGCCAACACGGTGAAACACCGTTTCAACTAAAAATGCAAAATATTAGCCAGGCATGGTGGTGCGCACCTGTAGTCCCAGCTACTCAGGAGGCTGAGGCACGAGAATCGCTTGAACCTGGGAGGCAGAGGCTGTAGTGAGCCAAGATCGTGCCATTGCACTCCAGCTTGGGCAACAAGAGTAAAACTCCGTCTCAAAAAAAAAAAAAGATTCTTTCTGACAAGCTCCAAGGTGATGCTGATGCTGCTGGTCTGTGAGTATACTTTTACTAGAAAATTATGTCACTCAGACCAGGCACCGTGGCTCACGCTTGTAATCCCAGCACTTTGAGAGGCTGAGGCGGGCGGATCACGAGGTCATGAGTTTGAGACCAGCCTGGCCAACTTGGTGAAACCCCATCTCTACTAAAAATACAAAAATTAGCCAGGTGTGGTGGTGCATGCCTGTAATTCCAGCTACTCAGGAGGCTGAGGCAGGAGAATCGCTTGAACCCAGGAGGCGGAGGTTGCGGTGAGCCAAGATTGTGCCATTGCACTCCAGCCTGGGTGACAGAGCAAGACTCGTCTAAAAAAAAAAAAAAAAAGAAAAAAAGAAAGTTATATCACTCTTCCATGGTTTTTAAAAAGGTGTAATGGGGCTGAGGTTTGACTCTCCTGCACAGCTCCCCACTCCCCTGGCTGGGACAGTGATGACAGCATCTTGTGTCCTCCCTTTCTCTTTGGTTCTAGGCCCCTGGTGCGACCCACCTCCCCTTCCTGAGCCATTTCCTCACCTATCCCACCTTTGGAGCTGAGGATGCTCAGTGGGATGGAGATCTGATTCCGCACGCTCCGAGTGCCTTGCTACCTGGATGCCTAGGACACATCCCTTCTCCTCCTGAAGCCTCAGTTTCCCCATCTGTACAGAGAGTGGGTTAGATTTGTCCTCAGAACTGGCTGCACCTCAGAAGCACAGGCAGAGTTTTTACGAAGTACCCTGGCCAGGATGCCACTCAGATTTTATTTCATTGGATGGGGGTGAGGCCCAGACGTGGATATTTTTAAAAAGCTGCCCAGGTGATGCCAACGGGGTGCCAGGGTTGAGAAGCACAGATCTGGTGATCGCTAAAGGTCAGCCCAGCGCCGACTGTCAGAGTGTGTGGTCCCATGGCCAGGTCTGCACACTGACACCATGCTGTCCTATGCAGCGCTCAGAAGCAGATTGGAAAAGTCTCAAAAAGATCTCAGTGCAGCTATTAGACAAGGTCACGCGCCCCCTCATGGGAAACGGCTCTTGAGTTGATGATCAGGATACAGACCCTGGCAGAGAGCTGAACTTTCTTTTCTGCTGACTGACACATGATGAATACTTTAATTAAAGACTCAACCCCACACATCAATCATCAGCAGACCTCCCCCACCAATGTGCCCTCCCACGGGAGGGCTGGAAAAGCTGTCTCTGTGTGCCAGGTGGGACAAGGGGAGGGTGCACCCAGGCTGCCGCTGAGCGCTGGGAGTTAACCTGACATCATGTCCAAACAGGGGGCCCGATTAGCAGGAGGACCCTTGGCTGCCTCACAGCAGAGACAGACCCATGAAAAGATTTTCTTGAAGCCAGCCGGTTGTACGTCTGTACAGTCCAGAGGTTTCCATAGCGACCCGTCTCTTCCTAAGGCTGACAATGGGCTCCAGCACCAGGGGAAGGCTTTCAACGTCCTGAGGATCCCAGCCCGAAATGGATGGGCTGAGCCTGTCTAATCTTGGCTCCACTGGTCCCTCGAGGCACGTCCTTTCAGAAAGGACACTGAACAGGCGGCAGCCCCGCCCCCACTGAGCCCTCAGAGGATGGGAAAGCAATCTTTAGGATGACAGCAGTTAGCGGGTACCTCTCCGTGGTCCCTCTCCACCAATTAGGGCGGTGGATAAGCAGCTGTACCCTGAAGTTAGACCACCCAGGATTCAAATCCCGGCTCTGCCACCTGGGTAACTATGGGCAAGTGACTTGATAGCTGCCTGCCTCAGTCTCCCCAACTGTGAAATAGGGATAATAATACTATCCTCTTCATAGGACTCTTTTGAGGATTACCTGAGTTCATTAAGGGAAGTCCTTACTACAGAATCCGGCACATTGCTCTCATTTTTTACAGCCCAATAGTCATAGATCATGAGACGGTCTCAGTCCCCAGGCTAGAAGGGCTATGCCAGGCCCCCAGTCTCTCCACTGCCCAGGGCGGTGTTTCTGAGGCTTGACCTGGAGGATTTTTAGTCACCCCAATGTCCAGTGCACCCTCCATCTGTGCACCAGGATCTCTGAGGGTGGGACCCAGGCATCTCTTTTTGGAAAACTTTGCAGGTAGTTTCAATGCTTAACCAAAGTTAAGAACAATGGAAATCTGTCAGCTTTTGTGCCTGTAAGGTTTATTTGGCCTGAGTCGTGAGACCCCATGGAGCTCCTGCAGCCTGTGTGGAATCAGGGGAGGGAGGAGTGGACACAAACAATATTTGCACAGTACTAGGCACCCTTTGTGTGCTCATTCATTCATTCATTCCACACAAGCACTTATGCACTTACAATGTGCCCATGCTGTGCCGATAGCCAGGAATGAGACAGAGGGGCCCCGCCCCATGGCACTTACTGACCCGTAGGGGAGGCAGACATTTATGGTTTATCACACAAACACGCTGGCAATGATAAGAACCACACAGAGCAGCTGAAGTGGTCAGGTGGCTTCCCATTCCAGGTGAGATCTGGAGGTTGCGGGGCAGTTAGCAAGTGGGAGAGAGCTGCATGCGGGGAAGGTGGGAGGCGTTGCAGGAAAGGTGAGGGAGACACAGCTGAGCTGTGGTGCTGGCCAGCTGGGGCCTTGCGCCTTATCCGGGCACTGTGACGGCCACTAACAGGTTTTAAGTACCGGAATGACATGATCGGATTTGTAATTTAACTAGATCCTTCTGACTGCTGTTGGGGGAACAGACTGTCAACCTCACAACAGCACTGTCAGCTGAGTATTAGACAAATGATGAACCTGGGCCCAGGGAGCTGAGTCACTCATCAGAGACGTGTGGCTAGCAAGCAACAGAGGCCAGGCCCATCCCAGGCCCCTGCTCTCAGATCTGGGTTCTTTGCACCCCCTCCCCTGGCTGTGTCCATCTCTCTCTCTGCTCCCCGTTTCGTCCCCATTATCTCAGGATCGACTCCAAACTCCCTGTGAGACAATACGATCATCCACATTGGATGACAGCCTTTCTCAAAGCCTCTGTGAGCACAAGTCTTCATTCTTTAGGGATCACTCTGATTTTGAGAAGCAGCCAAAGGCTTTCCAAGCCAAACTTGGCAGGATAAGGTAGGTGATTATATTAGTCACCTATTGCTATGTCACAAATTGCCCCAAAACTTAGTGGCTTAAAACAACAATAAACCTTAATTCTTTCACACATTTCTGTGTGTCAGGAATTGGGAGCAGCTGAGCTGCATAGTCTAGTTCTGGTCTCTCCTCTTTCCCAATGCCTCAGTTTCCCCAATTATAAACCAAGGTGCTTGAACCGGACCCTAATATCCCTCTTAACCTTGGTGCTTCCAGAAAAGGTTTGATTCTCCCACTCTTGCCAATTCCTCTTCCTCCTTAGGCGGTGGGCCCAGGCTCACAGAGAACTGCAGGTCATTAGCCAAACTTTTTTTTTCTTCCACAAAGAGCTTCGGCCTATAGCTGGGCGCTTTCTACCTACCTGCTGCAAAGGGCCGGAGGTGAAACCCTGAACCTGAGATGAGGTCAGAGCAAAAACCCAAAATGTCATCCCCCAAGACTCCTGAGCTGTGGCGGGGTGCACTGAGAATGGGTTGCAGACTTCCTTGTGGTCCGCTGCGGGGCCACTAACTGCTCTGAAGTGTCTTTGCCCTGAGTTCTCTGAAACACTGAGCACCTAAGGGAGAGCAGGCACGCGGCAGATGGGTGACAGCAGCCAGGCACACCTGCCGCACTCCGATCCCTCCTGGCTAGGGGCTAGGCATCTTGGAACGCTTACGAACGGGGTCTTCAGCTCTGCAGCCCCCAATCTCAAGACAGCTGGCTCTGTTCTGCCCATCAGGTCCTGAACCCGGAGGCAGGACCTGAAATACCCCAAGGCAGGGACTCACATCCACTGACCTGCTGTGTATCTGGGATTAACTGGAGTCTGGAAGACAACGGGGAGCCTCCAGCTCACCCCCAAAATGAAAGACAGCTCCTGGGGAGCTTATCATTTAGTAGGACAGATGGATAGTTGCCAAATAACCACGCAGGTAAAGGGACCATCACAAGTCTAGCAAGGGCTATGAGGAGCACAGTGGAGCTGGCTGTTAGTGGAGGGCCCCTGGCGAGGCCTCCTGGGGAAGGGATGGTTCAGCTGAGCTTACATCACAGGCAAAAATAAAATAGGGAAAAGAATATCCACCCTCCAAGGGCCCATTTAACTTAGCAAGGGAGAAATGGGGCAGGGAGATTAATGGAAAGAAGGAATTTGGTGGCCGTGCAGCAGGGTCCTGAGCGTCAGCGGCCCGTCATCCCAGTGTTCCTGGGAGGCCAGCACTGGGAGGCACTGGCATCCCAGCCAGCAGCCAGGGTCAGGATTCTAGCCAAAGAGACCTGTCAGGGCCTTGGCACCACCTTGGAGGGACTGCACCGTTCCGCTATCCATTGCTCCTGGAAGTGGCATTACCCTGCCTCCTGGCTGGTGCCGGCCCCTCTGAGCCTCAGCCTTGCTGCTGCTTCCCTGGCTGCATCAGATGCAAGTGGAACAGCAACAGGCCGGCACCCCCAGGGCTGTGTTCGGCCCCTCCGAGAGTCTGCCCTCTGTGGAGTGGAGTCCGGCTAGGACCGTCTTGGCCGCATGCTGAAAGCAGCCCCCAACCCCTCTGACCTACCAGCAACCCACCCACCAGCACGTGGTTGCAGCCTGCTTCTTGGGTCTCCCTGTTCTTGGTGCTTCACCCACCCAAGGCAGGTCATATCTCTCCCGGAGCCAGACCTTCCAAAGGCTTCCCACTTCACCCAAACAAACCCAAGATCCTTCCCCAGGCCTCCGAGGCACCGGCACATCTCTGGCCTCATCTGCTACTCCTCAACCCAGACCTCCTTGCTGTGCCTCCAACTCACAGGTACAGGCAGCCACAGGGCCTTGGTACCTGCTTTCCCCAATGACTTTTCTTCCAAATACACACGCGGCTTCATCTGTCACTTCCTCCACATCTCTGCTTAAATCCCGTCTATTCAAAGAGGGCTTCTTAGCTACTCCATCCAAAATAACCCCTCGGGCACTCTTTACTCCCCCTCTCTGCTTTTCTTCTTTATAGCATCTATTGCATTATATATATATATGAAATAAAAATTTTATTTATTATTTGTGTCTCCCCTAGAATGTAAATCTCAAAGCTCAGAACACTGGTTTTGTTCACTGCTATATGCCCAGTGCCGGCCAGATGCGGTGGCTCACGCCTGTAATCCCAGCACTTTGGGAGACCAAGGCGGGCAGATCATCTGAGGTCAGGAGTTCGAGACCAGCTTGGTGAACATGGTGAAACCCTGTCTCTACTAAAAATACAAAAATTAGCCAGGCATGGTGGTCCACATCTGTAATCCCAGCTACCCGAGAGGCTGAGGCAGGAGAATCACTTGAACCCAGGAGGTGGAGTTTGCAGTGAGCCGAGATCATGCCACTGCACTCCAGCCTGGGCAACAGAGCGAGACTCAGTCTCAAAAATAAATAAATAAATAAATAACCCCAGTGTCTATAGCATGGCCTGACGTATAGGAGGCCCTCAGAAAATATTTGTTGAATGAACAAATGAATCAAGCACAAATTAGGTTGTCAAAATACAGAATGGATGGGGGAGAATGCTATGATTGCCAAAATTGTGCCGAGTTGTTGGGTGGCAAATGTTTGTTGAATGACTATATGAATATATATTGACTGGGGGTGCCATAGGAAGAGTGCTCCTGCTGGGTACATGTCCCAGCTCTGCCACTGATGAGATAGGCCTGTCATAGGCCTATTCATGCCTATCTCCTTTTGAGGTCTTGATCTTCATCTGTGTAATATGAGAGAATTGTGTTAATATCAGGTCATTTTTTTTTCCATTTTTTAAAGCAGCTTTGAGGTGAAAACACACATGGCAACCCAATGGATAAAGCGGAGGTGGTGGTGTTGAAGGCAGGAATCTTAGAACCCTGTCCATTTGGACTCCTTTCTTTCCCTCCTCCCCTGTGCCCCAAGGTGGTTGGAAAGGCCCCTTCTGAGAACGGTTGAACTCCCCTGGACTCACAGTTCCCTAAATCCTGGTAGTAAATTGCATCTTTGTTTAGCAACTATTCATCACCAGCTCTGTCAGTTGATGTTGACTTGACTGCGTGACTTTATTTTCCCCCAAAATGTGGGCCCGTGTGACAACGTGATGGATTCCAGTGGAGGCTTTAAGAGGCGTTGCAAGTTCCTCCTACCACCTTGCACTCCTGCCCTGGGCCCTGGGATGAGAGACACGTGGACCAGGCCTGACTCTGGCCACAGCCCGCACTAGAGCTTGTGGCAGCAGTTCCCCCTGCCACTGGCACACAACCTGAGGAAGAAATAAAGATTTATTGCTGCAAGAAACTGAGATTGAGGTTGTTTCTTATGCAGCATAACCTGGTGAAAACGAGTACGAGCCCCTCTAGCTTTGCTGTGCCTGCAGCTTAAGTCTGGAGGGGGCTGTTGGCATTATTCACAGAGTATAGGAACCCAAATTTGGAATTTCTTTTGTCAAATTTTCAGCTGTTTCCTTAGCTTGTGATCTTCCCCTTAAAATACTTCTCCACCTTACCTTAATCAGAGATCTCAAACTGGTGGTTCCTGGCTACTTGTAACTCGAAGTCATGCCTTGTTGGGCTCCAATTAATTAATTAATTAATTCAACTTACTATCTGCCTATCCACTTACACGTGAATACAGATGATTGCACAATTGTAGTTTTCTGAGTGGCCATTCAGAAAAATCTCCTTTTCAGTAAATGCTAATAAGGTACCTACTCTGCCAGGGCTGCATAGATGAAAAAATAAAAGTGGTCCCTGACTCGTTGAAATTTAAGCTATTACACTCAGGGTATGAAAAGAGTCTGTCATAAATAAACCACCATCAACAACATTTAAAAAAAAACCCATCTTCATCTCGAATTCGAAAAGCCACCCATCATTTCTACTTAGTGAGGCTGGATAATTTCTGAAATTAACGGATGCTTATAGCATACCCAAGAAAAGCATTTTTGCAACAACAGAACCTTTTATCTGGCTTACAGGCAGCTAAAAACATCCCAACCCATCCTTCTTAGCTGTCTTTACTGAGACTAATTTTCACAAACATCGTTTTGAAAAGGAGCCGTAGTGTGCCAAAGCAGGAAGCGCGTGCCCCGGATTCAGGCACGCCGTGGGGCCAGGTGTCCTCGGGAAACTGGTTCTCTGAGCCTCACTTTCTTCATCTGCAAGGTGGGCTGTGTGAACAGAGGGGGCTGGGTCAGAGGACCTCTTATTATCTTAGGGCTCTTTGGCTGAATGCAGAATTTCTTTTCTTTCTTTCTTTTTTCTTTTGTTTTCTTTTCTTTTTGGAGACAGAGTCTTGCTCTGTTGCCCAGGCTGGAGTGCAATGGTGTGATCTCGGCTCACTACAACCTCCACCTCTCCGGTTCAAGCAATTCTCCTGCCTTAGCCTCCCAAGTAGCTGGGATTACAGGTGTATGCCACCACACTCAGCTAATTTTTTGTATTTTTAGTAGAGGTGGGATTTCGCCATGTTGGCCAGGCAGATCTCGAACTCCTGACATGACCTCAGGTGATCTACCTGCCTTGGCCTCCCAAAGTGTTGGGATTACAGGCGTGAGCCACTGCACCTGGCCGAACGCAAAATTTCAAAAGTGTGTTCCTGCCCATCTGCTAGGTTCAAGTTGTTACTGCCTTTGGGGTCCGGGGTCTCGGAGGAGTGATCCCAAAGAATGTCCCCTCTCCCCAGCTCCAAAATCAAGATGGCCTGAGGGTCCCCTCCCAGCCCCTCAAGCCCAGGATTCTGAGCCAGGTTCTCTACCATCCCCTGCCCCCAGCTTTCCCTCTCTGAACCCACCTGGCTCCTTGCTTGCCAGCCCCAGTGCCTTCTTGCTGGTTCTCAAACACATCAAGTGGGTACAGCCCCGGGCTTTGCACGCAGCATGCCCTCCTCCCAGAATGTGCTGGCCCTGATTGTCCATGTGGCTCCCCGCTGACTTCCGTCGGGGTCCTGCTCAAATATCTCCCCTGGAAGAGGCCTTCTCTGATTCTCCCACCTCACGAGCAGCCCAGTTATTCCCCATTTCCTTCCCCTGCTTGGTTTTCCTTCATAGTATTCATCATTATCTGCTCTCCGCCGTCTGACTGCCCCCCACCAGAATAAAGCAGTGGTCTTGCTCATGGCTGTTTCCCCAGCGCCTAGAACCTGGCACATAGTAGGTACTCAGAGGTATTTTTTGAAGGAAGGATTGAATAAGCAAATATGCAGTTCAACAAATATGGACCCTTATTTGTCTGCTTCCCCCAACAAATGTGGAGAAGATTCCCCAAACTTCACCCTCCCCGGCCCCTGGTTTTGCCCAGTAGACACCCCCAGCCCTGGAGGCTTTGCGATGCCCGCCCTGCTCACAGGTTGTTAAAGCTGGTGCAGGTCTCAGAGATCCAGCTGAGGAAAGGGCAGACCAAGGCCTGGAGTGGGTTTAGAGTCCATTCATCGAGCTCAGGCAGGCGCAGAGCTGGGGCCCTGAGCAGCTGTCCTGATGACAAGAAACTGAGATTTCTTCTCCCGCACAGGCCACCGCAGTCCACTCCAAGCCCCCAGCCATGGTCACAGCTAAACTCCTGTCCCTCTGACAAGATGCCGAAGGAGGGCACTTCCTGTCTCAGGCCTGAGTCCCTCTCAGCCTCCAGAGGGGAGCAGGGATGGGGAGGAATTGGTAGTTTTGAGAGCCTGCTAGGGGCTGGGGCTGCCACACACAGCCTCTTCCACTTGTCACCTTCACCACAGCCCCGCGCGGAAGGAGCCATTGTCCCCATTTTGTGGATGAGCAAAGTGAGGCCTGGGGAATGAAGACGCTGGCCCAGCTTGCACACAGAGCCAGGAAATGGCCCAGCAAATCACGTCTCTGTGTTCTAGTCTGTTAAAAGCCATCTGGTGCCGAGGACCGCAGCCTCAGGAGCTCCCTGCCTTCCCCAGAGAGAAAGCTGTCAGTCAGCGGGGGAGCCCATCTCCTCCTCCCTCCCACACCACCCGCTGGTGTCACATGGCATTGGGAGGGAGCAGCACCCACGGGGGTGCCTCCCCCTGGAGGCTGTGCAGGGAGACTTGGGAGCTGCACCTTGTGGGTGGCTGGGGTTTGGGGGGCAGGGGTTGCACACACGTTCAGGGCTGTCACGTGTTCCTACTCTCTGCAGCTTCTCTGGAGGCACGTCAGCCTGCTGGGTCCGCTGTCCCCAGACTGGGACTCCTGCAGAGAAGCCTCCAATGCCAGAAATGGCAGGGAATCTCAGAGACCATCCAGGTCAGCCCCCCTACTTTGCCTGGCTCAGACAAGAATAAAATCTAGAGCTTTGTATGCCAGAAGTGGGGCAAGGATGGGATGAGGTCAGGGTCCTTTAGAGAACACACATAGGGCAGGTCGGTTGAGGCAAGGTCTCCAGTGTCAGACCACCTGCATCCGAGTCCCGGCTCTCTCCTCAATGGTTGACCCTGGATAAATGCCTTCACCTCTCCAAGCCTCCGTTTCCTCATCTACTTTAACAGATCCTAGTTACGGAGTGCTGCTCAGGGACAGGCATGGCTCTGAGCTCTGCACCTGTGTGTCATCCTCCAAGCAACCCTAGGAAGGAGATACTATTGTCATCCTTCTTTAGCTCTGAGGAAACTGACGCACAGAGTGGTTAGCTAACCTGCCCAAGGGCACACAGCTGGGAAGTGATGGAGCCAGGATTTAATTCCAGACAATGAGGCTTTGGGATCCTGGAGCTCCATCACTATTTCATCTGCTGTCTACTGAGGATTAAATGAGGCAAGGAGTACTAAGAACCTAGAACTGTACTGAGTCAGCACTCAAACAATCATTTTTATAATAATGAGGAAGAAGGTCATGGACCCCCAGAAGGTCTGATGAAAGGTAAGGACCTTCCTGGTGGAAGATTTCACACACACACACACACACACACACACACACACACACACACACCCCAAACACTGCCTGCAATTTCATGGGGCCCCTGCTCCAGAAGTCAACCCATCAGTCCCCCTGGGGAAACTCTGCTCAAGTCAGCCCCATTATTTCCTAAGGAAGGGAGAGGAGAGGGTCCACATGTACGTTCCTTCATTTGATCCTCTGAGGTCGATCCACCTCAGGTCCACATGTACTTTCCTTCATTTGATCCTCTGAGGTGGCCATTATTAGCCCATTGCACAGATGAGAAAACCAAGGGCAACGGTGAGGTCCCAGGCAAGCTGGTGGGCAGACGAGACTTTCCTGTCCTAGGGGGCCTGCCGCCTTCTCCTTGGCTGGGTGTTACTTAGTCCAGAAGCCATGGTAAGAAATGGCGCCCGCAGGGCTCGGGCCTGTGGTACACACTCAGTGAAGATTTGTTGAGTGAGTGAGTAAGAGTGAGTGAGTGGGTCAGACTGGGTCGACATGGGGCCAGGCCATGTCCAAGGTCAGAGACTCAGAGCTCCCCTAGCCCAGCTCCTCTCCGGGGTGCTCATGGCTCTTCATGGGGAGGCAGAGGAAGAAGCAAAGGAAGAGCTGTAGGAATCCTGGCTTTTTAAAAGCTACTACTCCAACCCCCAGACAAGAAAATGGGGGCCCCAAGCCTGACTTGATGTATTCAGTCACACCCCGGGATGGCAGGAGCCAGGACTGGAAATCAGGTGTACTGGCACCCATGCCAGAGCTCAGGCAGTGGTGGTCGGAGGGAAGGGGTGCTGAACTCGAGTCAGAACACTTGGGCCACATTCTGCCTGTCATTCATGAGTGCTGTGACTTCAGGCAAACTGCATGGCCAAGTCTCTATTTGCAAAATGGTGATTGTATCTACCTTATAGTCACTGTTAAATCAAGCAGTTTGACAATTGTCTATTGAAAATTGTTTAGTGGCCGGGCGCGGTGGTTCACGCCTGTAATCCCAGCACTTTGGGAGGCCGAGGTGGGCAGATCGTGAGGCCAGGAGATGGAGACTGTCCTGGCTAACATGGTGAAACCCCATCTCTACTAAAAATACAAAAAATCAGCCGGGTGTGGTGGCATGCGCCTATAGTCCTAGCTACTCTGGAGGCTGAGGCAGAAGAATCACTTGAATCCAGGAGGCAGAGGTTGCAGTGAGCCAAGATCGCACCACTGCACTCCAGCCTGTGTGACAGAGCGAGACTCCATCTCCAAAAAATTATAATAAATAAAAATAAAAGTTGTTTAGCATTTTCTCCTCATTTGTCAAATGAGGATAGGTTAATGTGAGAATGTAGGAAATTCCCTGATGTAAAACAAATGTTCTGTAATTGGTAGCTTTTACTATTATTGGCAGCTATTATTACAATGTTGAGCATACAGGATAGGCCTCTATAAATGTCCCATGAATGGGTGGATGAACCAACAGACAGGCTAATAAGTTGTTTGGCAGACCAGTGGGAAGTGGGGTGGAGAGATGGATGAATGGGAGGAAGGTGGATTGATGGATGGGTGAGTGGGAAGTCGGCAAGAGGGTAGGTGGGTGGATGGATAGATAGACCAATTGACAGGCAGAGAGGTCTGTTTTGGGGAAGACCAATAGGTAGATGAGAGAGAGTGTAAGATGGACAAATGGCTGGCTGGATGAGTGAGAGGATGGACCAATAGTAATCAGACAGAAAGACTGGTGGTTTTTCAGAGCATGGAAGGAAGGAAGGAAGGCGGGAGGGAAGGAAGGAAGGTGGATGTGTGGGTGGATGGATGGATGGCTGGCTGGCTGGATGGATGGTGGATGGTGAACAGATGGAAGGAAGGAAGGTGGATGGATGGGTGGATAGATGGATGGATGGATGATGGATGGGTGGGTGGGTAGATAGATGGATGGATGGATGCTGGATGGATGGATGGGTGGGTGGATGGATGGATGGCTGGCTGGATGGATGGATGGTGGATGGATGGGTGGATAGATGGATAGATGGATGGATGGATGGTGGATGGATGGGTGGGTGGATGGATTGATGGAGAGATGAATGGATGGATGGATGGATGGATGGATATGTGAGTGGAATCATTGGGTAGGTGGGTGGAGAGATAAATGCATGGACCAATAAGCAGGCAGATAGAGAGGTGGGAGGACAGAAGACCAGGATGTGGATGGATGGCAGATATTCCTTCCCCTTGAACTGAAGCCAGAGGGATGATGGCAGCAGCTACAGCCTTACCATGGGCATCCTGAGGGTGAGGAAGAGAGGTAGGAGATGATTGTTCACCCAGGGCACCCCTGGAATGAGGCAGTGAGCAGTTGCTTACTGTACCCCAACATCCAAGGTTGGAATGGAAGCCCTAGGAGTGAGATGAGTGGGAGGAAGACACCCGGGCCCACACTCACACGCACACTCCCCTCAACACGGCATGCAGCAGGAGGTCGCCTGGGAGGGGCCCTGCACCCACACCAGAGCAGCAGGCTGCACAGCTTCTTCAGAAAGCGTCAGAGCCACAGCAGAGGAGGACCTCAGCTGCAGAGGCCTTCAGCAGGGCAATCCCAGTGTGCCCCTGGGGACTCCCTGGGTCTCAGCCAGAAGAACAAAATGTCCCCAGTGGGGGACCGTGGCTGCCTCGTGACCATTCCACTTCTCAGATGGCGACCCAGGGTCCAAGGGCCTATTTCAGGCCTTGCGGGTTTTGTTGACAACGAGGCCACCTTGCGATAGCCCCATTTCACGAAAGTGGAAGCTGAAGTCCACCAGTGGATACCATGGTCTGCAGGCTTGGCTGTACCCCCACCATCTCTTTGGTTTCTCCTGGGCCTTGTCCCACTGCTCACCCAACTTGGCCTCTCTGGTGTGGCTTGAACACTCCAGGCAGCCCCACCCCACTTGCTCTTCCGCCTACCTGGTAGGCTTTTCCGCCGAGGACCAACGCGGCCACACCCTCACTTCCTGCATTGCCTGTTTATGGTGCAAGGACTTTTGTCCGTTGGGTTCCTGATGCCCGGTGCATACTCAGGTATCATTTGCTGTAATCCAGTAACCCATGCAGGGATGGTGAGGGTGAGCAATAGTGAGGTGTTGCCCATGTGCCAGGCACAGTGCTCACTCATTTATCCACACAGTGCCACCATGAAGTAGATGCAGTTGCTATCTGCTCCCCTGCAGATGGGAACTCAGAGGCTCAGAGAAGGGGTTTGCTCAAGGTCCCACAGCAAGGCTGCCGCTAGAACATGCTAGAGTCATGTCGAGGGTCATCCCACAAGAGCTTAGGTCCCGAAGCTAGTGGAGTTCTAGCATTGCCACCATGGGACGTTGACCTTGGCAAGTCCCCTCTTTTCTCTGAGCCTTGTTTTTTTTTTTTTTTTTCTGAGATGGAGTCTTGCTCTGTCGCCCAGGCCAGAGTGCAGTGGCGCGATCTCGGCTCACTGCAACCTCTGCCTCCCGTGTTCAAGCAATTCTCCTGCCTCAGCCTCCCGAGAAGCTGGGATTACAGATGCCCGCCACCACACCCAGCTAATTTTTGTATTTTTAGTAGAGATGGGGTTTCACCATGTTGGCCAGGCTGGTCTCAAATTCCCGACCTCATGATCTGCTCACCTCGGCCTCCCAAAGTGCTGGGATTACAGGCGTGAGCCACTGTGCCCGGCCCTGAGCCTTGATGTTTTCATCTGTAAAATGGGACAGTAACAGCCTCTCCTTGGCAGGGCTGTTTTGAGAATCAAGGCTGGCAGTGGTGTGAATGTTTTATGGAAAAGAATCATGCCTGTGTCGCTGGGTGTTACGGCGCTACCTGTGTCTCCAGCTGCCTGAGCAGAGAGAGCCCGTGGGGCCCCTTGGTCTGTCACACAAGCCCAGGGTTCCAGGCTCAATTTAGGATAATCCAGAATAATGCTACCAACTGGCTGCAGATCAGAGGTCAAATTCCTTTTTCTGGGCCCCTCTTTCCTCCCAGCTCCACTGGGACGCTGCCTCCAGGGGACTTCTCACAGCTGTCTGGACCAGACCTGCCTGGGAGGAACAGGGTGAGCGGGGACAGGAAGGCCTCGGACTTTTCCCAGGCTGAAGACCTCCAAGAAGCCACTCTCCCATTCCTCCGCTCCAGCTGGGCAGGCTTCTGATGTGGCTTTCCCAGACCCTGCTGGCCCCTGTCTGCAGCGGATACACACAGAGGAACAGCGCTCAAGAGGGGGAGGGAAGGGCCTTTGAATAGGAGGACTCATGAGGGCTCCAGGCCTGCACACACCCTGTCAGCTTGGGGTGCAGGTTGCAGATCTCTCAGGCAATGCCAGGCCTCAGTTTCCTCACCTGGAAAATGGGTTTGGACTGGATGACTTCACCCAGGATGCCCAGTGCTAGACACTAGAACAGACCGAGCAGCCCAGGACCTTCCCCCAAGTTCGCTCCCTGGACCCCTTTCACCTCTGCAAGATAGGGGCCATTCCCTACCTCTGGCCTCAGTCTCCACCTCTGTAAAATGGGCTGGCTGAACTGGAAGATCCCGGAGGGTCCTTTCCTCTCTGCCATTCTGTTGTAGCTGGAAAAGGAAAACGGGGTAGTGCTGGGAAGGAAAGAACATTTAGTGAGCTGCAACTGTATACCGGGTGTTTTTATACGTTATCTCAGTTCTCTGTGCCTTATTTTCCTATTGCTTCTGTAACAACTTACTATAAACTTGGTAAATTAAAACAACACACATTTATCACCTTATAATTCTAGAGGTCAGAAGTCCAAAACTAGTGTCACTGTGTTAAAGGCGTCAGCAGGGCTGGTTTTCCTTGTCTTTCAAGATAGAATCAATGCTCTCTTCATTCCCACATCACATGGTCTTTTCTCCCGTTTCCTCAGTCTCATCTCTTTCTCTCTCTTTTTTTTTTTTTTTTTTTGAGATGGAGTTTTGCTCTTGTTGCCCAGGCTGGAGTACAGTGGTGCTATCTCGGCTCACTGCAACCTCCCCTTCCTGGGTTCAAGTGATTCTCCTGCTGAAGCCTCCCAAGTAGTTGGGATTACAGGTGCATGCCACCACACCCAGCTAATTTTTGTATTTTTAGTAGAGACAGAGTTTCACCATGTTGGTCAGGCTGGTCTCGAACTCCTGACCTCAGGTGATCTCTCTGCCTTGGCTTCCCAAACTGTTGGGATTATAGGCATGAGCCACCATGCCTGGTCATCTCATCTCTTTCTTCCTACTGCCACATGCCTGCCTCCCTCATAGAAGGATCCTTGTGGGGACATTAGGCTCACCTGACCAATCCAGGATAATGTCCCTATCTCCAGATCCTTAACTTAATTACATCTGCAGAATTCCCTTTGCTGGATAAGGTACGATTCACAGGTATTTGGGGGATTAGGACGTGGGTATCTTTGGAGGACTCTCACTCAGCTTGCCACATCCGTTCACACAAGGCTGTCATGGAGCTCAGCTTCCAACCCCAGTGCCTGTGACTTTGTAGCTGTGTGGCCTTGGGCAATGACCTAACTTCCTTGGCTCTCAGTCTCCTCATCCATAAAACAGAGGTAATGATGAGGATTATTAAGACAGTGCAGGGGCCAAGCACAGTGGCTCACACCTGTAATCCCAGAACTTTGGGAGGCCGAGGCGGGTGGATCACCTAAGATCAGGAGTTGGAGACCAGCCTGACCAACATGGAGAAACCCCGTCTCTACTAAAAAAACAAAAATTAGCCAGGTATGGTGGCAGGTGCCTGTAATCCCAGCTACTTGGGAGGCTGAGGCAGGAGAATCATTTGAACCTGCGAGTTGGAGGTTGTGGTGAGCCGAGATGTACCATTGCACTCCAGCCTGGGCAACAAGAGCGAAACTCCATCTCAAAAAAAAAAAGAGTGCAGAGGACTCTCTGAACACGGGGTCTGCTGCTGCTGCTGAGTGAATGTATACAGTGATAGTAACGCTGATAATGAATCACCCTTGTTTATTGCAGCTACTCGTACCAGACACTGAGCTGAGTGTTGAGTTTATGTAGGTGAGCCACGTTGACATGAGCCTGGCCCTCGTGGAACGTACTAGAGAACCAGGAAGACAGACTTAGAATAAATAGTCACACAAATCATTAGGGAATTATCAGAGCAGCCCAAAGCCACACAGCTGGGAAGAGGAGAAGTGGGTGGGATTCACACCCAAGTCTGTCTGATTCCCAAGCCCTTATTTTTCCATGATACTCCCAGCCTCTTGAGGCTGGTGGAGGCCAAGCCGAGGACCAGAGATGGGAAATGACTTGCCAAAGGTCACACAGTGAGAGAACAGTCCATTGCAGACCCAGATCTCTGGGCATCCTGCCTAAGGCTCCTCCCAGAGGAGATTCTGAGACGTAATACTAAATTACAAAGTAACACTAATAACTAGTGTGGCAGCTAATGCTGTGGAAGCTTGCTCTGTGCCCGGAGGCAGAATGGACATTTTACGTGCCCAGTATCATTCAGTTTCCACGATGCACAGGAGAAGAGACTTGGTACCCTATTTCACAGAGAAAGAACCTGAAGTCTCAAAGGGGTGCTATGAAATGCCTAGGGTCACCAGCGAACTAACTGCTAAGCAGAGAGCCAGGATGTTCTCTAAGAGCAGGGCCTGGCTCAGAACTCCCCAGTTCAAATTTGTCTGACCCCCACCCCTGTCCCTAACTCCTGCACATCCTGCCTGCGCCCACTGGCAGATCTTCAGGGGCTCCTGCCAGTGGGAGGAGGGAGGTGGCTGTGGTCCTTAGGGTGTAATCCCACAGGTGGAATTCCTCCTGAGGTCAGCCTGCAGGGAGACGGGTGACACGCTGGTGCCATCTAGTGGCCTTAAAGAGACATGCTGCTTCCCCCGGGAGCCGCAAGGTACCCCACAGAGATGCAGGGAGATAGTAATACATAAGGTCCTCATCCTCCACCCAGCTGGACCCCGGTAGCAAACTGACAAAGCTGAGCTAAAAGTGTTCGAAATGATCCTCCTCATTTTGCAGCTGAGGAAACAGAGGTTCAGAGAGGAGACCGACACACCCCAGCCCAGTCAGGGGCAGACGCAGGTGGCTGGAGGGACTGGCAGGGAGGTGGGGCTTGCCCTGAGCCTTAGCAGGGAGTCTGTCCAGCCACTGGGAGGCCAGGACAAGACAAGTGAGCTCTTCGTGGAGACTCCAGTTTTGGTCTGGGGATGGGTAGGGGGCACTGGCCTGGGACAAGGAGGAGGGTATGGCTAGTAGGAGCTGGATTATGGGCCAGTGCCTGAGGAAGGGAGGAAGAAGGCTGGTAAGAGACAGAGTGTCCTGGATGATCACCAAGGCTCCTCCGTAGAGAAATCCCATGATCTAAGGCCAAACATGGCTGGAGAAACCCCAGGATTCTTAGAAACAAACATGGCTAATGAAATTCCATCATTCTAAGGGACAAACATGGCTGGAGAAATCCCAAGATTCTAAGAGGCATAGGAACTTGATACATTGTTCATTCCATCAACAAACCATCACTGACCATGCACTCTGGGCCTTCCCCATAAGGGACGCTCAAGACCCACAGACCAACCAGATCTGGTCCCTGCTCTGCCGGATTCCACAGCCCAGTGGGGCAAATAAACAGATGACAGACTCTCAGAACCGGACAAGATAAATTCAAGTGGCCCCCCAGAGGGCCATAGGCTCTGCAGCCAGACAGATCTAGCTGATGATGTTAGCAAAAATAGCGGAAGGGCCGAGCGTGGTAGTGCACATCTGTAGTCCCAGCTACTCCGCAGGAGGATTACCTGAGCCCAAGAGTCAGAGGCTGTAGTGTGCCATGATCACACAGGTGAATAGCCACTGCACTCCAGCCTGGGCAACATAGCAAGATCCTATCTCTCTTTTGTTTTGTTTTGTTTTTGAGACGGAGTCTTGCTCTGTCGCCCAGGCTGGAGTGCAGTGGCGTGACCTTGGCTCACTGCAAGCTCCGCCTCCCGGGTTCACGCCATTCTCCTGCCTCAGCCTCCCAAGTAGCTGGGACTACAGGCACCCGCCACCACGCCTGGCTAATTTTTTGTATTTTTAGTAGAGACGGGGTTTCACCGTGTTGCCCAGGCTGGTCTCGAACTCCTGACCTCAGGTGATCCGCCCACCTCAGTCTCCCAAAGTGCTGGGATTACAGGCGTGAGCCACCGTGCCCGGCCCAATCCTATCTCTGCAAAAAAATTGTGGAGTGGCTAACATTTATTGAGTGCCTACTATATGCCAGGCACTAGTATAAGCACTTTTGATTAGCTAATTTAGTGAAACCCAGACTTTCTCTGACTAGCCATGTGACTTTTGGTAAATTACTTAGCCTCTCCAACCCTCCAGATTCTCGTCTGTAAAACAGGAGCCACGTGCCTACCTTGCTAGGCTATTGTGAGGTTAAAACGAAGTTTTGTGTGTGGGTGTGTGTGTGTATTTGTGTGTTACCTGGAATATAGTAAGTGCTCTATAGATGGTAGCCACCATTGAAATAGTAAGTGCTGTAATGCAGGAATGCCGAAGAGTTCCCACGATCTCATGCCTATCTGGAATTATCCTTTCTTTTTCTTTTCTTTTTTTTTTTTTTTGAGACGGAGTCTTGCTCTGTTGACCAGGCTAGAGTGCAATGGTGTGATCTCGGCTCACTACAACCTCCACCTCCCAGGTTCAAATGATTCTCCTGCCTCAACCTCCTGAGTAGCTGGGATTATAGGCATCTGCCACCACGCCCTGCTAATTTTTTATATTTTTTAGTAGAGATGGGGTTTCGCCATGTTTGGCCAGGCTGGTCTTGAACTTTTGACCTCAGGTGATCCACCCACCTCAGCCTCCCAAAGTGCTGGGATTACAGGCCTAAGCCATTGCGCCCGGCCCTTTTGGTGTTATCTTAGGGATGGGGGTAGTTGCATCTGAGGTCAGGGAGAGGAGGGAAGGGGAAAGCTCCCTGGAAAGGAGTGGAGACTTGGCCAGGACCTGGAAAGGGCAGGAGCCACCGCCCTCTTCCCCTCCTCTGCCCCTCCCCACCTTCTGCTCAGCTCCCCCTTCCCCTCTGGGGCACACCTCATCCCCTCCATTCGTATACCTGTTGCCCTGGGCCTGACCTCACCATCCCTTGCTTGGCCTTGTGTTTCCACTGGCCTCCCTGCCTCCACTCCTTCCTCCCTGTACCCAGAGGAAACTCCTACCACCAAATCTGTCCGTCCCTGCCTCCTCCGGCCCTCCTGCTCATTGATCCCACCCCACAGGAAAGCCCACTCAACTGTGACGGGCAAGGCCCACCCCATTCATTACATGAGTCTGTTTCCCCATCTCCTTCCTTGCGTCCACAGAGACCAGAGTTCCAGCCACCTGGAACTACATGGAGCTACCTGCTGTCCCCTGCAGACCCTGTGCTCCCTCCAGCCCCTATTGGCCGCCTAGAAGTTTCTCTGCCCACTCATCTCTCCAGATGGCTGTGCCACTCCCGGGGAAGCCTTCCCAGGCACCCCTCCCCTGCGGGGTCAGGAAGATCACCCTCCTCCCCCTTTCTCTCCCCCCCGCTGTGTTCCCAGACCCTGTCCAGGGTGTTCCAATGCTTGTCTTATGTGCCCATCTCCCATACTAGATCATTGCCTTCCATTAGGTGACACCACTGCTAGGAAATGCTTCAGATAGTGCCTCCCTCCATGTTAGGCCTCACAGTTATAACTCGGGCCAGGTCTTTGTCATCTTTGCGTGCCACTGTTGAATCGTGATGATGACACTCACATTTCTGAGCACTTGGTGCACCAGGCACTGCACTATGGACTTCACTCAAAGTATCTCCCTTAATCCCTCCAACCCCATAGGTGGTAGGACCTGTTATTATCCCCTTTTTTAGATGAGGAAACTGAGGTCAAAGAGGGTGGCCAAGAGGCATTAAAACCAGGCAGGCCAGATCCAGGGGCCACCACATTGCCACCTCTCTGAGTGTGCCTATGCTGTTCCACTGCCTGCAACACCCTCTTTCACTGCCTGGCCCCTGGTGGGCTCGTTTCACCCTCGGGCCTCAATCCCAAAGCCCCCTCCTTGGAGAAGCCTTTTCTATAACACCCTGTTATACAGCATCATGCCACTCTGTCTGTTTGCTTTGTAGAATATGTCTCAAGGTATTTCTTTGAGTTTGCTGTCTGTTGTTCTTTTGTACTCAACGTGCACGCACACACACAGCCACAAACACACATAGTCGTACTTGACTGTGAGAGCAATCACCGTGATTTCGCTTACTGCTGCATCCCTAAAGCAAAACAGAGTTTAGCCAGCCTCCCAGAGGGTCCCCAGAGATCCTGGCTTCTTGGTATGCACACCTTTGTGGAGTCCGCTTCCACGCTGAGCAGAGGACCTGTGCTACTGAGAGGACACTGTGTAAATGCCAAAGTGAGACCTCTGAGGCTGGGTCATGAAAGATATTGCACTTCCTCCTTGGCTCTCTTGGACCACTTGCTCTGGGAGAATACAGCTGCCATGTTGGGAAGACACTCAAGCAGCATTGTGGAGAGATCCACATGGTGAGGGACTGAGGCCTCTGGCCCACAGCCAGCATGACCTGGCCAGCCTTGTGAGGGAGCCACCTTGGAAGTGGATCCTCTCTCCTGTCCAGCCTTAGATGACTGCAGCCCTGACCAACATCCTGCCCACAACTTCATGAGGGATCCTGAGCCAGAACCACCCAGCCAAGCCAGTCCCAAATTCCTGATCCTCACACCTTGTGTGCAAGAAGAAATGCTGATTGTTTTAAGCCACTACGTTTTGGAGTACCTTGTTATGGAGCAAAATTGAATCCAACACTTTCTAAGTAGTTGTTGTATAAAGAGGTGGAGAGATGGATGCTGAATGAGAATAACAATGATTCTCACTCCCTGAGCCCTCTCTGTGTGCTAGGCATAGTGCTAAGTACTTTACATGTGAAACCGTCACACAGCCTTATGAGAAGGCTGCTACCCTCTACCCATTTTATAGATGGAGAAATAGGAACAGTGAGGTTAAATTACTCACCCAACATCCCACCAGCAGTCCTGGGGCTTTGCACCCTGGCAGATTGGGACCAGAGGCTTCACTGCCACATGGCACTGTCTGGGTGTCTCTTGACTCTTCCCAGACCCCCTCTCAGGCTCACTGGGGGCCTGGAAGAGCTCACTGTCACAGTCCGCGTGGCATGCATGCCCTGCAGAGCTAGGAATGCATGGCTCATGGCCTGGTGCCAGTGCCTCTTGTCCCACTGCTGGGAACACTGCCCTGTCACCTACCGGTAGAAGCCAGTTGGACAGAGCAGAAGGAAGAGGATGGCTTCTGTCCAGCCACACCCCATGGGACCAAGTGGCTGTAGGGGCAGGAGTGGGGGTCAGAGAGCTCAGATTCCAGCCGGCTCGTCATGCTGGTCTCCTTAGCAAACCTCCTAAGGTTACACACCCCAGGGTTCTGGCTGGACTCAGAGCCTTCGTCCTCTGGATCTGAAATGATATGGTTGGGACAGAGCTGGAAGTAACAACGGAAAACCCTGAGCCCTTCTTGTCCTCTGAGCAACGGAGGCTAAAAGGATGTTGGGGCCCAGGGAGCATGTAGCACTCAGGCCCACACCATCGTGAGAAGATAGTTGGGCTGGCACAGAGCTGGATGCCTTCTGAGAGGGTACAAGGGGCCTGGGCACAGGATGCCTGGGTCCAGGTCTGGTCTCTATCCGTCACAGTCACTGTGTGACTTCAGGCAAGTTCCTTAACCTCTCTGTGCCTCTAAACAATTCATCTGAACACATGCAGGTGGCAATAGCACCTATTCCCTGAGAATGAATGAGCCTGGTATGAGACAAACACTCATGTGTGCCGGGATGTTTGGTTTTCATAGCACTAACCTTTCCAACAACCTTGCAAGGCAGGTACCATTACTGCCATCTGCCCATGAAGAAACCGAGGTTTGGTTAGGTTAAGTCACTCTCACGGGCCACACACAGCCAGTCTGAGGTGAAGACAGTCAGGATTCAAACCCAAACGAGGTCCTTACCTCTGTGCCACCCTGCTCCTGTTCATTTTTGAGCCTCAGTGCCAGCCACTATGTGTGATCCCTGTTAGACACAATCACTGCTGTCTAGCAAACAGACAGAGTGGGTTGCTTGGGGAAGCAGGGAGCTCCCCATCCCTCCAGAGGTATGCAAGCATAGCCTGGGTGCGGTGGAGGCCTTAAGCATTGGGTCTGGTGTTGAATCCAGTGCCATTTAAGGCCCCTGCTACCCCTAGATTCTGGGGTTCTTCACTATCCTCCCCCAAAGACAGAGAGGGCTTAGCAGGGGAAACTGAAGCCCAGAGCCAGGATATGCCCAAGGTTACTTCATCAAGACGCTGTTGAACCCACCCTCCATCACGCCAGGAGAAAGGCGGGCCCCTTCCTCCAAGGGCCAGGAGAAGGAATAGGGGTAAAAAAAGAAGCCACAGGACCATGGGCAAGGTGAGGGTGAATCCTGAAGACAAAGGTGGCCACTCGGTGGGTGTTCAGAGCCAGGGAGCAGGTGAAGGTTGTCAGAAACAAGGTGAGTGTCAGACACCTTGGACTTCTTTTGGTTCAGTCCCCTCATTTGACAGATGAACAAATCAAGGCCATGGGGGGCCGATCCTCCTGTCCCAGATCCGTAATGCCATGTAGGGCACAGGCTGCTGCGGAAATAAGAGGAAAGGATGTGAAGGAGGTGGGCTGGACTTCACAAAGCCTGCCACTCTGGCACAAAGTGGATGGGATACGGGGTCTCTGGCCCACACTCTGCCCCTGCCCATGCCTCCCTCCTAGCAGATGATGAGCTATTTTCCAAGCATGTAGGATGCACTAAACCCTTCTTGAGGTGTCCTCATAAATTTGAGCCTAACAGCCGCCTGTGAGATAAGGACTGGGAATTTCATCATCTACATTTCTTCAGAAGAGGAAACTGCTGCCAGAGAGGTGAAATCACTTGCCCGAGGCCACAGAGCCAGCCAGGAAGGAGTGAAGCTTAGCAGTGGCCCCTGAGACCTCAGTCACCCTGGACTGGCGTTCCCCTTCCTGGGAGTAAGGGATGAGCACACTGGGTGAGAAAATCTCAGCCTCCGCCCTCTGGAAAATGACTCAGTTCTGGCCCCTGGTCAGGACATGGGGTAGGTGGCCAGACAGCCACAAGGTTGGGCTGTAAGCCTCTAGCGCCCAGGCAGCCCCGCTGCCACCCAGAGCAAGTCACACTCATACGCTCTCCTCAGTTAAAGTGCACAGGCTGAGTGCGGTGACTCAAGCCTGTAAACTCAGCACTGTGGGAGGCCAAGGCAGGAGGATCGCTTGAGGCCAGGAGTTCAGGACCAGCCCAGGCAACATAGTGAGACCCACCCCATCTCTACTAAAAATAAACAAATTTAGCCAGGCGTGGTGGCATGCACCTCTAGTCCCAGCTACTCGGAAGGCTGAGGTAGGAGGATTGCTTGAACTTGGGAGCCTGAGATTGCAACACTGCACTCCAGCCTGGGCAACAGAGTGAGATCTTGTCTCAAAAACAAACAAACAAAAACAAAGTGCACAGTTCAGTGAGTCTTAGCATATCCACAGGTGTGCAACCAGCACCACATCCACTTTAGAACATTTTCACCACCCCCCGAAAGAAACCCAGAAGCACTTAGCCCCCGTCGCCACAACCCGCCTCACCTCTAGCCCTGGACAGCCACATATCTACTTTCCGTATCTATCAATTTGCCTCTTCTGGGTGTTTCATATAAATGGAATCACACGATATATGGCCTTTTTGCAGGCACCGCTTTTTGAAGTCTTACAATAACATTTTGCAATAAAAACAGTGTTCTCTCAATTTTATTTTATTTTATTTATTTATTTTTGAGACAGAGTCTTCTCTGTTACCCAGGCTGGAGTCCAATGGTGCGATCTCGGCTCACTGCAACCTCCGTCTCCCGGGCTCAAGCAATTCTCCTGCCTCAGCATTCTGAGTAGCTGGGATTACAGGTGCCCGCCACCACGCCCAGCTAATTTGTGTATTTTTAGTAGAGACAGGATTTCGCCATGATGGCCAGGCTGGTCTTGAACTCCTGACCCCAGGTGATCCACCTGCCTCGGCCTCCCAAAGTGCTGGGATTACAGGCATGAGCCAGCATGCGTGGCCTGTTCTCTCAACTTTATAGATGAGGAAACTGAGGCTCAGAGTGGTTCAGAGCTTGCCCAAGGTCACCCGGCTCAGAAATGGTGGGTGGGATCTGGAATACGTCTGTCTGACTCCAGAGAACCTCAGCCACCCTTCTTAGGGCCAGAATCCAGAGTGGCCAGACAGCTTCAGGGGCCTAGGTTCAGGGATCTAGGACTGGAAGAAAGGCTGGGAGGGTCGGGGAGTTTGTGAGTCCTGAGGGCCAGGGCTGGAGGGTGAAGGGCCTGGGGAGGGGCACTGGTCCGGCCTCTAGACCCTCGAGTTACAGGGAGAAAAGGAAATATATAAGGCAGCCACTGGGGAAGGGGTGGGGTGGCTAAATGTACCTTCGGGAACTCCTGAGGGCCACCCCTTCTCTGGCACTGATTGGCGCAGTCACAGGTTCCTGATAATTACCCCCTCTCCTGCCTTACTTCCCCCATGGAAACGGTCCCCTCTGCCCACACTCCCAGCCCCCAGCAGCCGCCAGCCTTCCTACGATGACTCAGCCTGAGCCACTGTCCCCTCTGCCACCTCCACCCTCCCCCGACACCTGTCCCTTTCTAGCTGAAGCTGACCCCCAGGACGTGATTATCACCAGCACCCGGGTGGCTGTGCCAGGACTGGCCTGGCCAGCACCTGTTGGGGCTGGGAGACAGCTCTCCCCAGCCTGCCCCCTGGGTCAGCCTACTTGGGGGCCCTCACGCCCTTAGGGGGCTCTACCCACCCCATTCCTGGCAAGTCCCCTTAGGATAAACACAAACATTTCAGGCCCTCTTGAAATACTCTTTGTATTTGTATTATTTTATTTTATTTTATTTTGTGACAGGATCTCACTCTGTCACCAGGCTGGAGTGCAGTGGTGCGATTATGGCTCACTGCAGCCTCAACTTCCCAGGCTCAGGTGATCTTCCTGCCTTGGCCTCTCAAGTAGCTGGGACTAAAATATTATTTATTTTTGTTTAGAGGCAGGGTCTCGCTATGTTGCTCAGGAGTGGTCTCAAACTCCGGACTTCAAAGGATCCTCCTACCTCGGCCTCCCAAAGTGCCACAGTCATGAGCCACCTCCTGGAACTTTGTGTTGTTAAAACGATTACCATACCTCAACAGAAAGAAAGAAAATTTTGGAACATGCTCTTTCAGGCTGCTGTCTGCTTTGTACTCCCATGTTGACCCATCCCACCAAACCGCCTTGGGGATGGACAAGGCATTATCCGGCTGGGAATGAGGCTTAGCGTGTGAAGGAGTGGTTCCGCTCCCAGCACCACGGTCTCCTACAAAAGGAACTCTGAGGGTACGGTTGTGGGCCCAGCCTGCCTGTGTGTGTGGTAGGGAGGACTCTGTGACCTTCAGAGGCCCCAAAATCAAATGACAGCAGCAGCTGCTAGCTATGCTGGAGCACCAAACCTTTATTTTCCTTTGCATCCATTAATTTGTTTAGAGCCAGACAGCTTGGCTTGGAGTACCAGCCACACCAAACTTCATGCTCTGTGACTTTGGGCAATTCAGTTAACCTCTCTGGGCCTCAGTCTCCTCATCTGGAAAATGGGCGTGATGGCAGCTTCTGCTTCCTAAGCCTGGTTTGAAGATGAATGAGTGAGTATGTGTACAGTGCTCGGAAGGCACCCGGCACACCTTGTGAGCTGTTTGTTCTTGTTCTTCTTACGCCTGGTAAGTGCGTTGCAGGGGCACAGCCCCACCCACCCCACCGGGCCTCAAGGAGATTACAGGCAGTGGAGACTCAAGTAAGTCAGTCTGTCACCATCCAGAGAGGGGAGGGCCTGCCTCAGGGCCCGCAGGGAGGGCTCAGGTACTGTGGAGAGTGTCAGCTGGGAGGCCTGGGGCCCCGGCTCCAGCTCTGCTGCCCAACTGCTCTGTGACCCTGGCCAGGTCACTTGCCCACTCTGGGCTGCAGTTTCCTCCTCCTCTGGAGGCACTGGGCTGACTCTCCAGGGCCCTGGGCAGCCAGAGGTCTGGGAGGCCAGCCACCACTCCGGCTCTATTTTTACTGGGGCTCTGGACACTGTGCTGTCCTTGGACTCAGAACCTGGGTGGGTGAAAGGGAGCCCTGAGGTCATCCAGCCAGCCGGGTCTGAGCTGCGCTCCCTGGGCCTGTAAAGCATGTGCGGGAAGGTCCCCCTCATTCCAGAGGGCTTTGTGCTGGGGAAGCTGCCCTTGCCCTGTCTCTGCCTCTCTGTCCCTCCTCCATCTTGCTCACTCTTCTCACTGGTTCTCTCTCTCTGTCCCTCCCTTCCTCTCTCTCTGTCTCTCTCTGGCACATGTGCACAGAGCTCCACTTCACTCTCTAAGGCCCTGGCCTCACTGCACCCCAGTGAATTACAACCTGTTCTCATCCCTACTCTGTGCTTTTAAACTTTTTTCTCTTTATTTTAAATTGTTTACAAAATCTCAGAGAATTTATGGAATCAGAAATGGGAAAGAGGGAGGGACAGAGGGAGTAATGCAAGGAGCCATGACCCACAGCACCAGAACTCCTGCTTCAGAGACCAACAGGCATACCCACACCGATGAGAGAGGGAGGGAGAGAAGGGTGGGGGAGAGGGATGGAGGTGGGGGGACAGAGGGAGGGAGAAAGAGAGATTGACAGAGGGAGAGAGAGGGAAAGAGAGAGAGAGGGATGGAAAGATGGAAAGAGAGAGAGAGGGATGGAAAGAGGGAAAGAGAGAGAGAGGGATGGAAAGAGAGAAAAGAAGGAAGACAGGGAGGGAGTGAGAGAGGGAGAGAGAGACAGGGAGCTAGAGAAAGAGAGAGGGAAAGAGAGAGAGAGGGAGGGAGGGAGAGACCAAATAGAAAAAAGGAGGGAGAGAGGGAGGGAGAGAGAGGTGAGGGGAAGAGAGAGAAAGAGAGAGGGAGGGAGGGAGAGACCAAATAGAGAAAAGGAGGGAGAGAGGGAGGGAGAAAGGGAGGGAGGGAGGGAGAGAGAGGTGAGAGGAAGAGAGGGAAAGAGAGAGAGAGGGAGGGGGAGAGAGGGAGAGAGAGAGGGAAAGAGAGAGAGAAAGAGAAAGAAAGAGAGAAAAGGGAGAGAGAGGTGGGGAGAGGGAGAGAGAGGGAGGGAGAGAGAGGGAGGGAGAGGTGAGGGGAAGAGAGGGAAAGGAGAGAAAAGGGGAGAGAGGGAGAGGGAGAGAAAGAGAGAGAGAAAGGGAAAGAAAGACAGAAAAGGGGGAGGGGGAGAGAGAGAGAGAGAGAGAGGAAGAGTGGGAAGGCACAGAGAAAAAAGCAGAAGAGAAGCCAGAACGAGATGGAAGAAACAGAAACAGAGCCAGAGGGCAGTTGCGGAGTCCCTAGCACAAATCCTTTGAAAGGGGGAGGGCTTGGCGTGCAGGGCCTCCCTCTCACCATGGTAGCCTGATCAAGGTTTATCTTCTTTGGGCCTCAGCTTCCTCACTTGGAAAAACAAATCTGAGCTACGTGACCACCAAGGGCTCCCGGAACTCTGGCATTCAGACCCTGTGATGCTGAGGCCACTTGGGAATGGTCCCAGCCTCCTCATTCCTCAGATTTGGATAATGCTTTGACACTCAGTGCTCCACTGTTGGTTCAATATGACTGATCCCATGTAGCATATGGGATGCTGGTGCTTAGAGAGGCGGAGACGTTTTTCCGAGGCCACACAGCGACACGGTGGTGGGTGGGACCTAGGGGAGCCTGAGTGCTGCGGGCAGGACTTTCCACCTCCTTCCTCCCAGCCCATAGTTGTCCCATTACCGTGACTGTCCCCTCACCACCCCTGCACAGCACCTGCACCCCCTCTCTGGTCCTTGGTGCTCCCTGCACAGGGGCAGAGGTGATCCAGCCGAGCACGTGTCCTTCCCATGAGGCCTGTGGGCCCTCTCAGCAAAGGGTGAGACGTGGCGTGTGCTCCTCCCCCCAAGACCCCTCCTCCCTTCCTCAGTGAGAAACTGCAGCCTGGGATCCCTTCACTAAGGAAAGAAATACATTCAGGAAAACGGGACCCAGTTCCTGCCACCGTCCACCCCTGAGGCCACTCTCATTGATGATGGGGGAAGAACAAGGTGTTCTAGGCGCTTGGTGTGTATTAATTCATTTGATCCTCACAAACGCCTTTGGCATAAGTAATTAGAAGAAAAATTATTATTTTCATTTCACAGGTGAGGAAACTGAGGCACACAGTAGTGAAAAAACATGTCCAAATCACACCTCTGGGAAGAGGCAGACCAGGCTCAGGGGCTTGGGTGAGTGACGACTAAGAGTTGTGTAGCATGGGCTGTTGATTCAGGCATGAGCACGAGTGTCACTGGCATCCCAGCCCCGGGCTAAGGGCTTAGCACCTGCTACCTTATGCCATCCTCATGGCCAATGCCATCGGTTCCCAGCCCTCCCCAGCGGCATCCCATCTGCCCTGCCTGAAGAGTCTCCTGTTGGTTTGGAAGTTCACCCCCAATGGTGCTCACAGAAGATGACTTCAGTCTTGCCCCAAGGGTGAGTTACAGTTGCTCCCAGCCCATCATGGTGGTCTTGACTGTGACAGGCTTAGGCATAGGCATGTGACCCAGTCCTGGAAAATGGGAACTTAGAGAAAATCTGCCAGGGAGGAGGAAGGGGGCCTCTGGAAAGTTCTTCCATACCTTCAAATGAGGACATGAAGCAGGAATTGCCTCTTCCTGCCTTTGGATGTGGAGTGAGGATGTGATATCTGGAGGTGTAGCAGCCATCTTGTGGCCTTGAGGGAAAGGCAACTTGTGGGGAAGTAGATTGTAAGCCAAAAATAAAATTCTAAGCCATCCCATGACTGAATGGACCGCCTTTACAGCCAAGGGCATTCCAAAGTAAACCTGATAAAATAGTTCCGGCCACGAGGGGAAGGAGGGGTCAGACAGGCCTCATTATACCCTCCTCACTTTGGATTTCAGGTACAACTGACCAGCACTAACAATGAAACAGATTTTAAGATTGACAATACAGACTCTTTTTTTTTTTTTTTTTTGACATGGGGTTTTACTCTTGTCACCCAGGCTGGAGTACAATGGCATGATCTCGGCTCACTGCAATCTCTGCTTCCCAGGTTCAAGCGATTCTCCTGCCTCAGCCTCCTGAGTAGCTGGGATAACAGGCTCCTGCCATCATGCCCAGCTAATTTTTGTATTTTTAGTAGAGATGGGGTTTTGCCACATTGGCCAGGCTGGTCTCAAACTCCTGACCTCAGGTGATCTCGCCTCGGCCTCCCAAAGTGCTGGGATTACACACGCGAGCCACCATGCCCAGCCAATGCAGCCTCCTTATAGCAATAAGACACCAAATTCCAATCTGACTCCAGTATTGCATCACATGACATAGCAAGCCCAGAAAGAAAGCAAAGTGTTTTACCCCCAAAATATATTTCTTTGACATATTTTGAAACGGCCCTGCAAAACTATCTCTGATGGGGAAAATGTACAATCTATAGAGAATCCCCTTCCCTTTCCAGGTCTTGTCCTGACCCAAAAGAGATTAACTAAGAGTCTGGCACCTTTTAGAGACATTTACCATCTATTTGCTCTGAAGCCTGCTACGTGGAGGCTTCATCTGCACAATAAGAACCCTGGTCTCCACAACCCCTTATCTTAACCCAGACATTCCTTTCTATTGATTCCAGGTCTTTAGATAATAGCTGTTTCAACCAATTGCCAATCAGAAAATCTTTGAATCCACCTATGACCTGGCTAGGTCACAAAAAGCATCCAGCGTCTGCCAGGCTCCTTCTCCTGGGTCCTTTAATCTTGGAACCCAGTCGCCATGTCAAGAAGAAGTAGAGCGGCCACATGTCATGTATGCAATGCAATGGGTGCTTCGAGAAAGGGTTGTGCCAGAGGGAGGAGAGCCAGCTCCAGGCTGGATGGGCAGGGAGGAGAGGAAACACTTCCCAAAGTGAGGCTTCAAGAGTGCAAAGGGGCTGGGTGTGGTGGTTCACACCTGTAATCCCAGCCCTTTCAGAGACCCAGGTGGGCGGATCACCTGAGGTCAGGAGTTCGAGACCAGCCTGACCAACATGGCGAAACCCCATCTCTACTAAAAATACAAAAATTAACTGGGCATGGTGGCAGGTACCTGTAATCCCAGCTACTCGGGAGGCTGAGGCAGGAGAATCACTTGAACCCAGGAGGTGGAGGTTGCAGTGAGCCAAGATCGCACCATTGCACTCCAGCCTGGGTGACAAGGGTGAAACTACTCAAAAAAAAAAAAAAAAAAAAAAAAAAAAAAGACTCCAGCCCGCAAAGTGGGGCTGACATCCGAGAGCACTGGATAGTCCAGGAACAGCAAACCCAGGGCTCAGGCACTGTAGACTGCACATCAAATCAGGGTTCAGGAGGGAAAAGTTGGGCCACGTTGTCTGAACTTTTCTCCCATGCGCAATGAGAAGGAGCCGTTGAAAGTTATTTGCCCAGTGACTTGGGCAGAATTGCCAAGTGGTTTGGAGCGTGGCCTTGGGCTGTGTGTGGGTTTTCAAACTGACAGCCGGTTACATGATCCAGGCCCGAGGGGGTGGCTCTAGTTTCTGTGTGAGTGACCCTGAGTGAAAACCTGCTTGCTCAGCCTGCTCCATTCCTAGGGCCAGGAGAGGCAATAATAAGATACAGAACCGTTGTGTTTTAGCCATTATATTTTGGGGTGACTTTATTACTATTTATTACATACTATTTTTATTACTACGCAGCAATAGAAATTGAAACAATAAGGCCGGGTGCATTGGCTCATGCCTGTAATCCCAGCACTTTGGGAGTCTGAGGCAGGCAGATCACTTGAGGTCAGGAGTTCGAGACCAGCCTGGCCAATGTGGTGAAACCCTGTCTCTACTAAAAATACAAAAATTAGCCGGGCATGGTGGTGGGCACCCGTAATCCCAGCTACTCAGGAGGCTGAGGCAGGAGAATTGCTTGAAACCAGGAGGCGGAGGTTGCAGTGAGCCGAGATCACACCATTGCACTCCAGCCTGGGTAAGCGAGACCGTCTCAAGGAAAAAAAAAAAGGAAAAGGAAAAGAAATTGAAACAGTAAGTGTTTCACAGGTATTTGGTGAATGAAATGTATTAGGTACCTGATTAGGTGGAATTGAAAAAATATGTTTTTGTTGTTGTTGTTGTTTGTTTGTTTGTTTGTTTGGAAAGAAGCTGCCATTGAAAAGCATCCAAGAGTTTCAACTGAATGGCAGTGGCCTCCGGTTCGCCTGGAACGCTCACCTCTGATAAGTAGAGTCTTGCAATGCTCAATGGCCTCTCATGAACACTCCCGTGTAAGTGACAAGTGAGAAATGAGGCCCCAGGCCCTGGTAGCCATTGGGACATCCCCCAAGGCTTGAACTCCTGCCAGTCCAGCCTGCAGGTGCTTAGCAGGATTTGGTCACTTGGCTTCAGCTGGCGTGTTAGTGAGTCTTGCCCTGGCTCAAGCAAAAGTCAGCGGCTCTGCGTCAGGGCACCCACAGGATGGAAGGTGGGACTCACTCTGAACTGGTGTCATGATGCTTCCAACCGGCTCCAGGAAGACTACCAGCTGGGAATCCCCCGCAGCCTGGCGGAAGAGCCCCCGTACCAAGCTCCTGAAGAAGATCACCCTTCCCAGCAGCCTCAGATGCAAGAACTGGGGATGGGGCAGACAGACTTGTCACAGGGCTCCCGGGAGGCCTCACCCTTCCCTTCTGAGGGCCAGGGAGAGGAGAGCCACATTTTGCCGGAAGGATGCCTGGGGACTGGCTCAGCGAGGCTGGCATTCTCCTATTGAAGGATCCTTCGCTCAGCTCTGCAGTGTGAGGCCCCAATGCCCCTAGTCCCCGAGCCTGGGCCTTGAGTAAAATGACAGGGTGTGCAGCTTTGAGTGATAACCACCAGCCTTTGAAGCACAAGCTTGGGGCTCCCTGCAGCCCTGCAGGTGAGGGTCTGGACCAGGACAGAGGTTATGGGCACTGGACAAGGACTTGCCAGCTTGCCCAGGATGGGTGCCCAGAGCACAACTGCATGGTGGCGAAAGGGCAGCAGTGCCTGAAACTGGCCCCCAGGCAGGCGGATCAGGGCCTCCAGCGCCACCACACATGTGCAACCTGTCTGGCCCTCTTGGGCTGAGCCAGCCCCTGCATTCTCCGGCAATTCAGGGAGAGGAAGTAGAGCCCACAGGAGAAGTCAGACTTGCTGCTAATCTGGAAGTGGAGGCTCAGACTGATTTTACTTTGAAAAATGTGAAAATCGGGAGAATATTTGTCCCAAAGCTGATGAGGCATGCCACGCTGGTGGCATAAGCCTGTATGTCCTAGGGGGCAGGGTGCTGCAAGCATTTAAGAGTACAGATTTTGGCGGGGTGTGGTGGCTCATGCCTGTAACCCCAGCACTTTGGGAGGCCGAGGCAGGCCGATCATCTGAGGTCAGGAGTTCAAGACCAGCCTGGCCAACATGGTGAAACCCTGTCTCTACTAAAACTACAAAACATTAGCCGGGCATGGTGGTGGGCACCTGTAATCCCAGCTACTCAGGAGGACGAGGCAGGAGAATTGCTTGAACCCAGGAGGCAGAGGTTGCAGTGAGCTGCCATTGCACTCCAGGCTGGGCAACAAGAGTGAAACTCTGTCAAAAGAAAGAAAGAGAGAGAGAGGGAGGGAGGGAGGGAGGAAGGAAGGAAGGAAGGAAGGAAGGAAGGAAGGAAGGAAGGGCAGATTTCAGGTGCAAATCCCAACTTGCCTTCTTTTTAGTTGGTGGTCTTGGGCAAATTACTCAAACTCTCTCTGTTTTAGTTTCCTCATCTGTAAAATGAGGATCATTGTGGAAGTTAGTGTCCTCCAAAGAAACAGAACCAATAGGACGTATATATAGAGAGGTTTATTTTAAGGAATTGGCTCATGCAATCATGCGGGTTGGCAAGTCTGAAATCTGCAGGACAGACCGGGAGGCTGGAGACCCAGGGAAAAGTGATTTTGCAGCCTTGAGTCTGGAAGCAGAATTCCTTCTTCCTTGTGGAACTTCAGCCTCTTCTTGTAAGACCTTCAACTGATTGGTGCGGCCCACCCTCATTATGGAGGTAATCTGCTTTACTCTAAGTCTCTTTATTTAAATGTTACTCGCATCTTCAAAATACCTTCACAGCAGCATCTAGACTGGTGTTTGACCACACAATTGGGCACCATGGCTTAGCCAAGTTGACCCATACCAACATGATGACAATGATGATAATAATGCCTACCTGGTAGGGCTGTTGAAAGATTCAATGCATTGGACTATATTAAATATTTAGGCCTGGCCTGGTGGCTAACCTCTGTAATCCCAGCACTTTGGGAGGCTGAGAAGGAGGATCGCTTGAGTCCAGGAGTTCGAGACCAGCCTGGGCAACACAGAGAGACCCCTTCTCTTCAAACAATTTAAAAATTAGCCAGCCATAGTGACGTGCACCTGTAGTCCCAGCTACTCTGGAGGCTGAGATGAGAGGATCACTTGAACCTGGGAGGTGGAGGCTGCAGTGAGCCATGATCACACCACTGCACTCGAGCCTGGGTGACAGAGCAAGACCCTGTCTCAATAAATAAGTAAGTAAATAAATATTTAGAGTGGGCTGGGCCCTCCTCATAGCTGGCTTTCCCCTCCTCTTACTGTCAGTACTTTCATCACTGCAACAAAATACTCCTGATATCCAAATACAAGCCCCCCTGAGAACCATCCATCTAGGCTCGTGGTTTAAGCAACCCTTTCTTTTCAGTGGTCACCCCACTTGGCTTATTTCTAATGAAACATCATGCGGAACCCCAATAGATACGTTGGCCAAAGGTGCCGCTGCTCTGGCTGAAGCAGAAATGCCCAGTGCCCCTCACCCCCATGTCTGATCCCTCCCACATCTGTCAGAGGACTTGGTCCCTGTGCTCAAAACCTGGAGCTCCACATCACCCAGTTTCATAATTCACCAGGTCCGCAAAACTACCTCCTCTCTCTAACGCATGTGTGAAGGGTGGCCGCCCTGCCCCTGGGGGATCTTGACTCTGATACACGGTGGGAAAACTTCCAAGGAGGCTGAAACCTGCGCAGCCACCATGGGGAAGGCCACCCAGCAGATGGGAGAGGCTCCGCGCCTCGGAGCGGACGCTCGTTGTTTTTGAGGAACCGATGCCCTCTGATGACTGGAACATTTTCAGCAAAGATTTTGCCCTTCTGAGTGTGCTAACAGGTTCAGTATTTCTGTGTAAAATAACAGCATGGGAAGAATTTTTTTATTTGTGGGTAATCTGTGGTCAGACAAAAGCAACAGCATTGACAGAGGGCAGTAGAAGGGGAAGGTTTTGTGTCTGTTTGTTAAGATACCACTTTCACGTGTCTGGGAGCACACAATGAATGGTGTGCATGTGCGTGCATATGTGTGTGTGTCTGTGTGTGTGTATGCATGTGTGCACCTGAGAGAGAAAACACAATAGAATAGAAATATAAGATGCCATTTTCATTACTAATAAAATGGCAAACGTGTGTGCGTGTGTGCGTGCATGTGTGTGTGCATATGTGTGCATGTATATGTGAGAATTGTCTATGTGTGCATGTATGTGTGTGTTTGTGTACATGTGAGTGTGTTTGTGTATGGGTATATGTGTGTGATTGTATGTATTTGTGTGTACATGTGTTATGTGTGCATGTGTGTGTATGTGAGAGTGTGAATGTGTGTATGTGTATGTAAGAGTGTGTGTGCATGTGTGTGTATTTATGAGTGTGTGAGTGTATGTGTGCACGGGTGTGTGTATATGCATGTATATGTGTGTCACGTGTACATGCTTGTGAGAATTGTGCGTGTGTGTGTGCATGTATTGTGTGTACATGTTTGTGTATATATGTGTGTTTGTGTGTATGTGTGTATTTGCATGTGTGTTATGTATGTGTCCATGTGCAGGTGTATGTACATGTGTGTGTGCATTTGTGTGAGGGTGTGTGTGTGTGCATTGTGTGAGTGTGTATGTCTGTGAGCATGTATGTGTGTGTCTGTGTGTGAATGTATATATGTAAGAGTGTGTGTGTGTGAGAGTGTATGTGCGGTTGTGTGTATATGCATGTATTTGTGTGCCATGTGTACATGAGTGTGAGAATTGTACATGTGTATGTGTGCATGTGTGTGTACATTTCTGTGCATATATGTGTGGTTGTGCATATGTGTATGTGTGTTATGTATGTGTGCATGTGTGTGTGGTTGTGTCTGTGTGTATGTGTGTATGTATGTGGTTGTGTGTCTGTGTATTTGTATGTGTGTATTTGTATGTGGGTGTACATGTGCTTGTGTATGTGCGTGTCTGTGTATTTGTGTGTATGTGTATGAGTGTGTGTCTGTGTGTGTATTTGCATGTGTGTGTACGTTTGTGTATATGTGTCTGTGTGTATTTGCATGTGTGTGTACATGTGTTTGTGTCTGTGTATGTATTTGCATGTGTGTACATGTGTTTGTGTGTGTGTATTTGCATGTGTGTGTCTGTGTGTGTATTTGCATGTGTGTGTGCATGTGGTGTACATATGAGTGTTTATGTGTCTGTGTATTTATGTGTGTGTCTGTGTGTATTTGCATGTGTGTGTACATGTGTTTGTGTCTGTATGTATTTGCATGTGTGTACATGTGTTTGTGTCTGTGTGTGTATTTGCATGTGTGTGTGCATGTGGTGTACATATGAGTGTTTATGTGTCTGTGTATTTACGTGTGTGTCTGTGTGTATTTGCATGTGCGTGTATGTGTGTATACCTTATCAAGCCTGTCCCTCATTGTTTTGCTGTCACCTGATGCCCCAGCTCTGCTCAGCTAGTGGCTCGCTGTCCACGTTGAGGTCTCGAGTGAGTCACCCCGCACAGCTCTTCACGGTTTCTCACTTCTGCTCCCCAGATATTGCCCAAGCCCTGGTTTCTTTTACATCCTATCCAACTTCTCCAGGCTCCACCCAGAAAGCCACAGTCCCAGGCAGAGTCAGGAGGGCCAGATTTTAAAGAAGTTGCCTGGGCTGTCCTGGGGGTGACTCTTGTGGATTCCAAAGTGGCAGGTAATGTGGCTAGAAGCCAAGATCAGACCTGACAGCAGGAGAGTCAGACAGACATTGATACACTCAGACTCACACATGCCAACGCGCACACACACCCAGTGTGTGCCCAGAGACACGCACACACACAGAGCTCAGCTTCAGGAATCAGATGTTCAGAACTAGGGTCCTACTGGGACCTCCTGAACCATTTAATTTCTAAAATACTCTACAGTTTACAACATGCTTTTATATCCATATCCACATGTTATACTAGTGTGGTATCCCAGTAGGACCCTGGTTCGGTGGCTCACACCTGTAATCCCAGCACTTTGGGAGACCAAGGCAGGTGGATCGCCTGGCCAACATGGCGAAACCCCATCTCTACTAAAAATACAAAAATTAGCCAGGTGTGATGGCACATGCCTGTCATCTCAGCTACAAGGGAGGCTGAGGCACGAGAATCTCTTGAACCTAAGAGATGGAGGTTGCAGTGAGCCAAGATTGCGCCACTGCACTCCAGCCAGGGTGACAGAGCGAGACTCCATCTCAAAAAAAAAAAAAAAGTGAATGTAGAAAAGGCAACATGAACATTTATGTAGACACTTCCCGTTGGTTCTGTTTCTCTGGAAAACCCTGACTTATGCAGCAGCTGACTCTTTATGACTTTCATCCACCATGACTGGGCCCGCCATCACTCCCACACCTCATCTTCATACTCTCAGAGCCCTGTGCCTCGTCAGCTCCCCGAGGCAGGGGCAGGGCCTGTCTGCTTCACTGTGGCACCCCAGAGCCTAGCTCAGTGCCTGGCACCCTGCAGGCTTCAGGAAATATTTGATCAATGCATGTGTGAATATATGACTGAGTGAATTTGGAAAGCCACTCCTTAGGCAATTCCTACACCTGAAACTCTCTTCCTACTTCTTTTTTTTTTTTTTTTTTTTTTTTTTTGAGACAGAGCCTCACTCTGTTGCCCAGGCTGGAGTGCAATGGCACAGTCACGGCTCAGTGCAGCATTGACCTCCCTGGGCATAGGTGATCTCCCACTTCAGCCTCTCAAGTAGCTGGGACTACAGGCGTGCACCACCATGCTCAGTTAATTTTTCTATTTTTTTGTGGAGACAGGGTTTCGCCATGTTGCCCAGGTTGTTCTCAAACTCCTGAGCTCAAGTGACTTACCTGCCTCAGCTTCCCAAAGTGCTGGATTGCAGGCATAGGTCACTATGTCCGGCCCCTTCTTTGCTCATAAAAATCCTTTATTGTCCCCGAGGCCTAGCATGGGCTACTTTCTCCTTCATCCCCACACCGCGGAAGCCTCATGAGAGCAGAGACCATGTCTGCCTTATTCACGATTGTGACTTAGACTGAAGCCTAAGTCTCAGTCTGGGGCCTGGTACATGGTAGATGCTCAATAAATACTGGTTACATTAATGTAGAATACATGTCACAGCGGTAGGATATTTTTATTTATTTATTTTTTTGAGACAGAGTTTCCCTTTTTTTTTTTTTTTTTTTTTTTGAGATTGAGTCTTGCTTTGTCCCCAGGCTGGAGTGCAATGGCGCAATCTCAGGTCACTGCAACCCCTGCCTTCCAGGTTCAAGCAATTCTCCTGTCTCAGCCTCCCGAGTAGCTGGGATTACAGGCATGTGCCACTGTGCCCAGCTAATTTTGTATGTTAGTAGAGACGGGGTTTCACCATGTTGGTCAGGCTGGTCTCGAACTCCTGACTTTAGGTGATCCACCCGCCTCGGCCTCCCAAAGTGCTGGGATTACAGGCATGAGCCACCACCCCGCTAGGATATTTTTTAAATGTTAACCTCTATTCTTCCCCCAGGATTGCCCTTATTCCTTTTGCTCTCACCTCTTCTTTAGACAGCAAAGTATTTCTTTCCCTAAGCCTCAGGGAAGGATGTGACAGCTGAGAACAAAAAACCCATGTCTCTTGCCTGGATTTGCAGTGTCGAAAGCTTAGACTCAGAGAGAACCAGAAGGAATACACAGAAAGGAGAAAATACTTGGAGGAAATCATGAGAGTTTTCTGCTTTCCAGGCTGGAGAATCATTTTCTGAAACTGTCATAAAGAAGAGAACTGCAGAGAAAACACCCAGATTGCAGATGCTGGTAGTTCTCAGAGAAAGAGGCTCTGTCCCTGCTCATAAAGCACCTTGTGTGGGTTAGGAAAAGGCACCCCCCTGGGTGCACAGCTTGGTAACTGGAGCACAGTTCACATCCAGCTCTTATTACCCGCTTCGTCCAGGCACTCATGTGGAGTGCACAACCCATACAACCATACAGAGCCGCCTTGCACAAGCCCTACCAAGTCCTAAAAGAGGCAAAAAAAAAAAAAAAAAAAAAAAGTTCAGACAGGTCTGCGGGGTCTGAACACAGAGAAAATCCATGCCTCACATTCCAGGCAGAGACCTCATGGGGCAAGAGTGTTTCAGGGAGGAAGTGGTCCCAGGCAAAAGCGATCACAGTTTCCTACGCAGAGGATCTGATAAGGAACAATGACTAAGGACCAGGTGGGTGCAGCAGTCCTGAGGTCAACCCTGGGGACAGATGACAGCAGCCACCAGATTGCCACCTCCCCATGCACGCACACAACTTGGCACACATAAGCCCCTTGGAATCAGCCCAAAAACCACAGAAAAATCTCAAATAAATTGAGATTAAGTATTTGCCACTCATGCAAAATGAAGATTCAAAACAGAAGTCCCCTTGAGTCACAGGCGTGCACACACAAGCACACACACACAAAGAATAAGTTGCATCGTGTGCATCCAAGGTGCACATAAACTGGGAATTTTTTTAAAAAATTGCTCTGCTTAGCACACATTTGTTCAATGGATGCTGAATGAATAACAAGTAACGGGTGCATCTCTGCATCCTTAATGGTGTTCTGCCCTGATTTAATTATCAGAACACATCTGTCTCCCTGACTAGATTGTCAATGGCTTGCAGACAGGGACCCAGTTTATTCAACTTTAAATCCTGCACATGAATCCTCTACAGAACTGCTCATTGCCTGAGTGTTCAATTGAATTACTCTCTAAGTATGTGGAATTTTTCTCCAGGCTCCAAGATCAAAAAGCTCCCCTCACCCTGAACTCCCCTCCTTTCTCTCCCACCTCTTCATAGAGCATACGAATTCCCAAATCCTGGCGCAGAAAGGAAGAAGGTTCCCCTTTAATGCGGTTGTCTGGTGCCACCGCACAGCCTGGTAAATAAGTGTGCTAGGATTTGGGACGTGTCCACATCCAGCAGAGGAGCACTGCTCTGCCCAGCAGCCGTGAGCCTGAGCTTAGTCTGAGGTTTGGGGCAGTGAGGTCACGATTATCGTGGGGTAGGGGTAGGGCTGGACCCCAAGACAGATGCTCAAGGGCAGGGGGGCTCAAGGTCCCTTGTTCTGGGAGCTACTGGAGATTTAAGGTGCCCAGGACTTGGGGCTTCCCAGAGATGGCGCCCAGAGTCGTGGTGGCATTCTAGGACCTCATGGCTTGGGCACGTGGGCCGGTCCAGCCCACCAGGCCCTTTTCCAGGCCCCTTTCCACACCCTTTGCTGCAGCCTGCTTCCTGGCTGCCACAATTACATGCCAACATTTTATTTTTGGCCCTCGCAGCAATACTTACATTTTCTGCCCGTGCACTCTGCCTTCGCTGATATGGATTTTGTCTCCTGGCCTGTGTTTGTAAATTATTCCCCATGTGTCTGTCCTTTCTCTGTGGCCAGAAGGTCAGCAGCTGCCACTGGCTGGCCGCCTTGCTCTCTCCCTGGCTGGAGTCCCTGCTGCCTTCCAGGCCATAGTTTGAGTCCCAGCTCTGCCACTTACTAGCAGGGTGACCTTCCCATGTTACTGAAGGTATTGCAGCCATGATGATGATGGCTTCCCCTCTCCTCTGGGTTCCCACAGCCTGGCGCACCTGTCACTCTCTCCTCGTATTGCAGAGGTCTGTTCGCTGCCTCCCACCTCCCCCGAAGAGAAGGTGCTCCCAAGGCTGGGGCCAAGCCTGTCCCTTCCATTTCCCCATGCCCTGCACTGGGCCTGCCTCTGAGCGGTGGCCCAGGGAGGGTGGGCTCCTGTCCCTCTCACCCTCCTGCCTTTCCTCCTCCCCTTCTCCTCTTTCCTGAGGCTCTCTGCACACACAAGCCCAGGGTCTGCCTTCCTCCCATTTCTTCCTTGATGCTGGTGCTGGTGGGGGCATCATTTACTCTAGGAGATGAAAAATGCCAGGCAGAAACTGAGATGTTGCAGGTTGTTTTATTAAAACCAGGTGAGTCACTGCCATACCTGAGGAGGCACACACAAGTTCCAGATAGTCAAATGCTTCCCCAGCTGGCCCGCCCAGCCCAGATCTCCTCCTCATTGCAAAGGGACATTCTGCTGTCTTCAAGGGGCCAGTGATTAATCAGACAATTGCTACTGTCAGGTGTAGTTAATGGCTTGGATTTGGGGTTACAGCCAGTTTGGAGGTTGGAAGAAGTTCGGTTGGGATTTAGAAGAAAGGACAATTAATTCAGATCCAAACCATGCAGAACACAGTGAGCCAAGGGCCACTCCCGGTTCCCAGGGTGATGACATCCCACAGGGAGGCGCATCGCTGGGCATGCAAAGCCAACTTCAACACCCCAGCCCCAGCCCCTCAGCTCCTCCTGCCCACCTCTACTAAACAAAGCAGACACTCAGAAGCAAACTCTATATGGCTACACGAGATCAGACCCCGCTCTCTCTTGAACCCGGGGCCCAGATGGGTGGGGGTGGGAGCGGCAGGGGCCTAGCCCTGGAAGCCCAGCTCCTTGTAGTTGGAGGCCATGTCCTTCCGGAACAGCTCCAGGGCCTTGTTCATGGCCCCCTGGGCATCAGCACCAAAGTCCCCGGGATGCTTGCTCTGCAGAACCTGGATGATGCATTCCGAGATGAACTGCAGGGAGGGTGAGGAGAGAAAATGGTCACCAGGGTGGGACAAGCCAGGGGCCAGATGGGAGTCAGTTGTCCTCCTACCTTCTCTTTATTCCAGGACCGTGTATTGAGCACTTGCTAGGCACCAGGTGAGAGTCTGTGTGATCTCCACGGATGAACCCCTTTGATCCCCACAACCACTGTGAGATAGATACTACAACTGCCCTCGATTTACAGATGCAGAAACTGAGGCGAGGGGAGGTTGAATGGAAGGGACATTTGGACCCAGGAGGGCCGGCTCCGGAGCCCACGCTCTTACTCACAGCCCCCTCCACTCCATCAGGATGTAGACCCCACTGAAACCAGGTGAGAGCTCAGAGCACCACCCGCTTGGGGGCAGCAGAAAAGAAGGGAAATGCTCAGATTTCATTATTGTATTCAGGATTTTGCAATCAGAAAGTCTAGAAAGGAACTATTTCTATTTGTGTGTATGCAATTTTTGCATACTTAATGACTTGGTATGGTTATTGTTTTAAAGACCCTATTTTGGGGGCACAGCCTCCTATTTTTTATACCAAGCACAGAAACACTGGTGGGAGGGAAGGAGAGAGAGGAAGAAGACAGGGATGAGGCCCGCGGCTGGCTCCCAGGATGGAGAATGTCTGCTATCAGCCTCAGCATTGCCATTTGCTTTAGTACCCACAGTCTCACTGCCCGGATAACAGAGATGGGCATGGGAAAACGGAGATGTAGCATGGTGCTGCTTTAGGGATGGAAAGACTCATGGATGTGAAATGCGGCTGTGCTTTCTCAAGTTAACCAGATTTGATCCCAACCACAGCCCTGGCTGGTGCACCAAGGAGTGTCGTTTTACAGAGGAGAAAATCAAGTGGCCAGACCGAGGTCACGCAGGAAGCAGAGAGCAGAGATGGATTTGCGCCCAGGAGGCTGTGGGCAGGCCACTGCCAGAGCTGGGAACGGAGGCAGTGGCTGAACCAAGGCTGGGTTTCTCGTTTTCTCAGGGCCCCAGGGTGCAAGTGACATAAAGCAGGGATAGTCGCGGGTGGGACATGCAAAGGGAGGCCTCAAGAAGCATCAACACCCCATAAGCCCCTCTGCTGGGAAAGAGGGGCAGCTCCACAAACGCCTACTCTTGGGCATCAAGGTGGATGCTTGACTTCACCTTCCATTTCATGAATGCCACAAAACAAAGTGGGGGCTCAGGGTGTCATGGAGCAAGCCCTGTCCTTAGAGAACTTGAGAGAATCAAGTTCCAGGGCCACCTATGCCCCGACTCCATGTGTGACTTCACCCACCCAGATGGCCTGGTTGGGCCCCCAGCTCAGACTTTCTGGAGTCCATGGCAGAGCCACTCATATCTAGAAAACAGTGGAACGGAGCCACTGCATAATTGAGAAATGGAAACACTCTCGGCACCCACCACCCTGTACAGCCCCTCAGTCCCTCAGAGAGACAATCTGTCCACAGGTGAGGTGGAGACTGTCTTATGAACAGCGCAGAGCGAAGGTCCACCGTGAGGGGGAAAAGCAGACATCTGGGCTCTGTCTCAATTTTTTGCAGAGGTTATGCATCAGATTAAGCATGTTTTAGGGAGACCTGGGTTCTAGTGGCCAACTGGTTGTGATATCTTGGCTGCATGGTTTTTTCTATCCAACACTCGGCTTCTTCCTCTCTAGAGAGAGAACTCAGTCATTGGAAGTGTATGGTGAGCCAAACACGTGCCAGTGGGGCACAGAAATGGTAGCCCCTAGGGAGCTGAGTGTCTGCTGGGAGACCGCTGGGCAAAGAGACAAATTATCACACAGCCTGGCAGTGCCATGACCGGAGATGAAGATAAAGTGCCATGGTGCAGGGAGGGGCTGGCAGATGGAACCGCTGAAAGCCTCGTGGGCCTGGGGTTCCAAGCAGGGGAGATGGCTTCGCACTGGGCCTTAGTGGATGAACAGGGATTTGCAGAGAGAAGATGGGCAGGCAGGGACGGCCTCACATGCAGGGTTGTCTGTTCACGCTGGTGATGTGGAGCAGTTGGGCAGGCAGGACTCTGCGCAATTGTGGGGTGGGGTGCAAAGGTCGAAGTTAAAGAGGGGTGGCGGTGGTTGTCAATGGGTGATATTGTGCCACAGTGGATTCAGAGCCTGGTTCCAGAGTACCATGGATCTGACTGTACCTCCTGGCTTATCAGCTGTGTGACCTTGGGCAAGCTACTTAAACCCTCTGAGCTCTCAGTTTCCAAACCAGCAAAATGGGGATGAGAAGGGTACTTGCCTGGGGCAGAGACTGCTAATTACGTCCACAATATCCATTTCCCTTTCTTCCTTGGTAACAGAACACTAGTTGTATTTGGAGGGGTGATAGACTACCTTTCCCAGCTTCCCGTGCAGACAGGATGGCTCCGTAACTAACTTCTGGCCAATGAGATGTAAATAAAATTGTTGGATGAGATTTCTGGGACTCCTTAAACTCCTCAAAAGAGAGCATTCCTCTCTTTCTCCTGCTTCCAGTTGGGAATATAGAAGAGGTGGCTGGAGCTCTTGCAGTCATTTTGGCCATGAGGCAACTTTGAGGATGGATGCCATGTGCTAGGCATGGCAGCAAATGCTCACTGTGGCCCATCCCAGCGGGTAGCTATCACCACATCCTAATCCTCATGGCTGCACCAGACTTCCTGCTGTTTCTACCCTCGGGGGATGCACCTGTCCCTGTGGTCCTTCATCCCCAGCTCCCTCCTCTCCCCAAATCGCCTCCTCCCACCAGTTATAGACACACAACCTGAAGCCCAGGCTCCTGCCCCCAACCCTGATCCACCCAACTTTCCAACCCATCTCAGGAGGTCCAAACCAATTGCTTGTGCTGGAAACCGAGGTCCTGTCTCTTCATCTGTGAAGATGCTGGAACCAATAGAGCCAACCTGCTGGTCACCCCCACCCCAAATTGAGCCCCACTTGCTGAGCTCCTGCCACATAAGTCCTGCATGTACCAGACTCCCAGTGGCACAGCAGTTAGGGGCTGGGGTTCTGTAGTAATAGAGACCTGCGTTTGAATCTTGGCTCTGCCATTATCCACCTCCTGTGACCGTGGACAAGCTGCTTAACCTCTGTGAGCCTCAGTTTCCCCATCTATCAAGTGGATATGATAATGGTACCTACCCATGGAGAGGATGCAAATTTTGCACCCAATATCCCCTCTCCCTTTCCTCTTTGGTAATAAGATGTGAATTTGGCATACTAAATTAAAAATGCTAAGTGTGTTCATTCTCAACAATCCCAGGAGGAAGGCAAAGTGGGTGGCAGTCCCCTTTACAAATGAGAAACCTGGGGCACAGAGAAGAGTGGCATAGGTCATCCCACAAGTTAGTGGCTGAGCTTGGACTCGAACCCAGATCCCATTGCCCCACCCGAGGCCTTCCCCGCATCCTCCCACCTGCCCAGGCTCTGCTCCTACCTCCAGGTACTTCACGGGGATCTTGTGCTTGGTGGCATGCGACTGTGCCAGGGGCTTAATCTCTGCCTCATGATGCCCCTTCTTCTTAAGGATGCCACCCAGGGCGGTGAGCACGGTGGCACCATGCTTCTTTAAGTCCTCAGACGCCTTCATCTCGTCCTCTGACTTCAGGTGCTTGAACTTGTCAAACTTCTCCAGAGTCTCTGGGTGACCCTTAAAGAGCCTGTGGGCACAGGGAAGGCTGGAGTCGGCATGGGAGGTGCGGTGTGAGGTCTGGGGGCAGCCAGACTAGAGTTCAAGTTTAGCTCCCTGTCTTCCCAGCTGTGTGACCTTGGGCCATTCACTTCACCTCTCTGTGCCTCAGCTTCCTCATATAAGGGATGGGGATAACTTGTCCCTACTTGAAGGATTAAGTGAGATAGTGTGTGCTATGTACCAACAGGGTGTCTGGCACATAGTGAGTGTCATATAATTCCCATTTTACAGATGTGGAAACCGAGGTTCTGAGGCGTAAAGTCACCAGCTCACTATTGCAGGGGTGCTGTCCAGAGAAGCCAGGCTGGAATGAGGTCTGAGTGACCAAAACAGCAGTTCTAGTCCACGCTGCGACCATCTCTGCAGCTTCCTGCCCAGGGATTGTCCTTCAGCTGCTTAAATACCTCTAGCTACAGGAGGCTCACTCCTACCTGTGAGGGCCATTCCACTCCAGAGCAATCCTCACACTCAGAAACCTCTTGCTTGTTTTGAGCCCAAGCTGTGACTCTCTGAACCTCCCAGTCCCCTCACTGTGCAGATGACGAAGGGTCCTGGTGGGAGCAACTCAACCCAGCCCTGAGACAGGCACCCACTCCTGCCAGGCACTCAGTGAGGTGCCCCAGAGGCCTCTGCTGGGACTCTGAGCAGCCACCTCCAGCTTTAGACCTCGGTCCTTCCTGCCCACCTCCAACTTTAGACCTTGGTCCTTCCTGCCCACCTCCAGCTTTAGACCTCAGTCCTTCCTGCCCACCTCCAGCTTTAGACCTCAGTCCTTCCTGCTGTGAGCAGGTGGGTGCTGGTTAAAGGGAGTCAGACCTGCCCTCTGGGTAGGAGTGAGTTTCCGCCTTTTACTCATGGAAGACCACAGAGATAAGTGGCCAAGGTCACTTGGCTAGCTAGCGGCAGAGCCCAGACCTAAACCCAAAATGGAACAGTTTCATAACTCCCACCCTTTCCCTTGTGCCACAGCTGAAATGTTTGGCACGGGCAACCCTGTCTGCCCAGGGCTCTCTCTCCTGTCTAATGGTTTCAGTTCCTTGAAAAGCTCCTCTTTTATGATACCCAGGCTCTGTGACATCCTTGTAAAAGTACACAGTATGTATTGTGGCCACACTCCAGTTTGCGCCCTGAGCCACCATGCCCAGAAGTTGTCACAAGGAAGCACCTGATCCCCGTAGTCTCCATCCCAGGGTTTTATGAGGAGGGTATTTCACAACCAGGATGCTGAGCTCCTCAACCTGAAAATGAGTTCATGGTTTTTTTGTTTTTTGTTTTTCTTTTTTGAGATGGAATCTGGCTCTGTTGCCCAGGCTGGAGTGCAGTGGTGCAATCTCTGCTCACCGCAACCTCCACCTCCTGGGTTTGAGCAATTCTCAGAATTCTCCATGTTAGGCAGGATGGTCTCGATCTCCTGACCTTGTGATCCGCCTGCCTCAGCCTCCCAAAGTGCTGGGATTACAGGCGCCCAGCCATATTAACTGATTTTAAAATCCTGATGGGGTAGACGCCATTTTGCAGAGGAAGAAACAGAGGCACCGAAAGACTAACTAGCTGGGGATTTAACCCAGGCAGTCTGGCTTCATGTCTATACTCTTGATGACTATTCGGACTTTGTTATTGTTACACAGAGATATTTACAGGCAAACTGATACCTACATGGACATGTATCAACACCTCACACGTGTACATGCATGCAGGCTCTCACAGATGTGTGTGCACACTCACATATGGGCCTGCACACTCACACAGAGGTACACATAAATATATCCCAGCACACGCCATACTCACCTGCACACACACACAGAGACACGCACAAGCCTGAACCACATACACTCCCTTCCCCCATGTTGGGCATGGTCTGCCGCCGTGCCCAACATTGCCACCTCGCTCCAGGACCTTATCCAAATCCTCGTGCGTCACTGACGGCTTGTCTCTGACACCTTTCATCCAAGGGTCCCTGAGCTCCTGACTATTATTATCTGGCGACAATGATCCTTGAACTCCCGCCTGACAGATGCAAGACCTGGCATGCACAGGCGATGGTCAGAGGTCAGGACGCTGAAAGCAGACTGTCTGAGGCAGAGCAGGGCCAAGAATTTGGGCCACAAGGCAGCTGGGGGTCTCAGACATTTTGGGGCCTGCCCCTGCCCTCTGATATCTAGGGAAGAGAACATGGGACTGACAGTTACGGAAGCTGAGTTCCGGTCCCAGTTCTGGCGCCAATGTGCTCTGTGATGTTGAAGTCACTTAGCCTCTCTGGATCATTGCTCATCCATATGTAAACCAAAAGGGTCTAGACCCGCCAATGCCTTTCTTTCCACTCAACACCAGACAGCCAGGGAGAGAGCTCATATTTACTTTATTAATATTTTTTTGAGACACGGTATTGCTCTGTTGCCCAGGCTGGAGTGCAGTGGTGTGATCTTGGCTCACTGGAGCCTCAATCTCCTGGGCCCAAGTGATCCTCCTACCTCAGCCTCCCGCGTAGCTGGGACTACAGGCACACACCACCACGCCCAGCTAATTTTGTTTATTTTTTGTAGAGAAGGGGGGTCTCACTATGTGGCTCAGGCTGGTCTCGAACTCCTGGACTCAAGCGATTCCCCGATCCTGCCTCCCAAAGTGCTGGGATTATAGGCCTGAGCCACCCCACCCCACCCCATATTTACTTTAAACAGCAGAGCAGAATCGGGCTAATTTGTCTCCCCGCAAGATCATTCCGGCACCACACAGCTGCCTGCCTCCTGTGGGCCCAGGCCTTGCAGCTAGGAGCCCCCCAGGCAGCCACAGAAGGCCATTCTCCTGGATTTGCCTGATCCGGAAAATGAACAGATGAAAGCCCCTCAGCCTGTGGAAATGGACGGAGGGCGTTTGCTCTAGTATTTCAGAAAGCCCCGCTGGCCTGTGTTTCCAGCTTCAACCCTGCTGTCAGTGGGCCTGGTTCATCAGACAGATCTTCAGTCCAAGTCAGAGAGAAGGGAGGCCATTTTCCTGCTGTTCTCTGAACTGAGGCCCAATTGGACACTCACATGGAACATGGAGCACATTGTCAGATCCATGAACACCCCTCTGGCTCTACTAGAATAAAAGAACCAGAGCGTGGGTGGCAGCCCGTCTTGCGTGTGGCAAGGTCATGGGGCAGTATAGCATAGTGGTCAAGAGCAAGGATTCTGGGCCGGGCTCATTGGCTTGTAATCCCAGCACTTTGGGAGGCCAAGGCGGGCAGATCACCTGAGGTCAGGAGTTCGAGACCAGCCTGGCCAACATGGCGAAACCTAGTCTCTACTAAAAATACAAAAATTAGCCAGGCATGGTGGCATGCACCTGTAATCCCAGCAAGACTCCATCTCAAAAAAAAAAAAAAGGAGCAAGGATTCTGGATCCAAGCTGCCTGAATTTGAATTCCAGCTCCTTTCTTACTTGCTGTGTGACTTGGCGTAAGTTACTTAACCTCTCTGTTAAATGTGGTGATCATAATCATATCTACCTCATAAGATTGTTGTCAGGCTTCAGTGAGTGAAACACTTAAACAGAGCCCAGCAATCAGTATGTGCTGAATAAATGGTTGCTGTCTTTCTCCTCCTCATCATCTCTACCATTATCATTATCATTATCATTATCATCACCATCACCCAGGAATTTTTGGTCCTGCCTGTGGCTGCCATTAACCGGTGGAGACTCTCAGGCCCAGTTCCTCCCTGTAATGAGAAGTAGTGACCACCACTGGTGATTTTCAAACATTTTATGACCTTGAAATCCTTTGTTCCCCCCGCTCCCCAAAACAGCCAAAGTAAATAAAACAAAAAAGGTTTGAGTAAAGAAAGGAAAAACAGGGGTGTGGAGCCCACTCAGCAGCCCCCTCCCTTCCGAAGCCCCACTCCTGGAGCCAGAATCTCCAAGTGACCTTCCAGCTTCTGTGTTCTAGAATTTTATGTTTGTGTACGTGCAGTGAAGGCCTCAGTGTTTTACAGACTGGGCTTCATGGAATTTGCCCTCTTTTACAATCAGAAGATTGGAGACATAACCTTTCAAGGTCAGTTAGAAAATCCAGAGTCAGTATCTAGAACAAAGTCAAGATGCCAACTCTCACGGGTGGCATTTGCAGTCCTGGGCATGAGCCTCCTCCACCCTGCCCCCAGGGAGGCCATCCTCCCTGTACCCCAAATACTGAGAGGGCAGAACCAGCTGGCACAGTCTCTGCATGTCCCACAACCTAAGACGTGACAGGGCACCAGGCCTCTGGGACCTTTCAGGGACCAGCAACCCTAGGCATTATGTCTTATCCCTGGCTCCCGGCCCCCGGCAAACCTCCGTGATCCTCCCTGATGATGCAACACCCTGAGTCTCTTTCAAGACGTACAAGTCACTGCCTTAGGTCTGGCAGCTCCCAAATCACCTTGGAAAGACCTCTGCTCTGCAAACTCTGGTCTCCTACCTCCACGCCTGACTGTCCTGCCTCCTCGCCAAAGGCAAAAGTGCATCAAGGACTCAGAGAATTCTAGGGCATGAGCGTGGGACGGGATCTCGGAGACCATGGAAGACAATCCCTTCGCTCAACCAGCAGAGAAATAAGGCCCAGAGGTGGAGAGACTTGTCCAAGGTCACATGGCATATCTGTGGCCCAGGAGTTGATGTCAATTTGTGTGTGTGTGTTGGTCGGGGGAGCACTTTGTGCAATCCAACAGGGCCTGTTGCAGCCAGATGACAGGGACAGGAGAAGAAAGACATAAACACACTACGATGCCATTACAGTCAACAGAAAACTCAACTCTTCTTCCTCAAGTGTTTCTAGCACGGATCACCAACGGCTCAAATTTTAGATAACGGAGCTTCCAGGACCAGCCATGCTCCCGAGGTAGACGGAAGCTGGAAATGGGTAAAGCCCAAGGGAGACCCAAAGGACGACGGAGTGGAAGAGGAAAATTGGCTCTGGCTCACAAATAAGGAGAAATTAATCTGCAAATTAAAGTGCCAAAGACAATCCATTCACTTGTGGCAACCCCGGCGCCCACTTCCTTCCTCCCGTTGGCAGAAACGTTGATTCTTAACCTATTAGACTTCTGAGGGAACCAGCTCAGAATGGTGAGGGAAGGGGCCAAGAGAAGAGTGTATCACCTTTGGGATAGAAGGCAACGAGGAGATGAGCTTCTATGTACAAACCACAGCCACCCTCTATTTACAAACCTCAGAATTTTGTTTTCTTTGGTGTATTCTGGAATCCCTTGTGGTAGAAGGCAGGATATACTTGCAGACCACATCATTCAGACCTCTCAAACTAGAGACATACTCAACATCGAAGGTCACTAATGAGCCTCTATCTTCTGTTCTCTAATTGCAATGCTTTGAAAGGTCCCTAGCCTGGGCTTCATCAGTAATAGCTACTAACATTTCTAGGACTCAGTATATGCCAGGAACCATGCCAGGCCTCTTGCATGCATTATTTTATTTAATTCTCACATCTCCTCTAGGATATAGATATTAGGATATCCCCTCACTGTACAGGAGAGGAAATTGAGGCTCCGAGAGGTTGAGTACTTTCCCAAAGGTCACCCAGTGGCTCAGTGGCAGAGCCAAGTCTAGAACCAGATCTGTCTCCCCTTGAAGAGCATGTCTTAACCTTGACACTTTAAGAGCATTTAATGAGCTGTGACTCTGGAAATGTCCTCCCCTTCTCAGTCCCTTTTTGTCCTCATCCTGTAAGAGAGGTGGCTGTACAAAATCTCTCAGGACCCTTGTTAACTCTGACTGTCTATAATTCTAAAATTCTTCCTGGTGGACTCTGAGCATCCTAGGTTTGATTCTCATGCTTCCTCCAGCTGCTGACATCAGCCTGAAATGGCTCCTTTCCCTCTCCTGAGTCCAATCCCTGACACTTAAAAGCAAAGAAAAAGCAAGTGACCGTTCTAACACCCTTAACTAATGCAGCCAACTGACCTACCCCACGTGCAAACTTTCCACCTTGCAGCTGAACACCCTTGATCTTAGGGTGTGGGTGGCAGGGGCAATGGAATCTCTTCCTTTTACCTGATGAGGACTTCCTGCCCATGGCCTGGGATGTCAGCCTCCACCTTCCCCCAGACGTTCAGCACCAACTGCCATTCCCCGTCGCTGAGCCCCATGGCGCAGTCTGAAGAAGACAAAAAGAGCAAGTATGGGCTCACTGGGTGTCCTGGCCCCAACAGCTGGGGTTTGAGGCTGCCTGGTCCCAAGGGCGTTTTTATACCTTCTGGGATGCTTGACAAAGATCGCTCAATGGCTCGCTGTCCCCCTCCCCTGCCCTCCTTCACTTTCTCTCTCTCATCCAGGGAGGGTCTAATCTTTTCCTTTCTCTAGCCCTCACATGGGAAGCTATTTTAGGGCAGGTGCCATTGTGGCGAGGCAGGACAGCTCAGGCCACAGGGGGTGGGGTGGTTGTGCGTGTGGAAAGAAGGGGAGGAGGTTGGGCACTGTCTGGACTCTCATAGCCGACAGAAAGGGCACCACAGAAGCCGACGCCAGCAGCCTGAAACCCAACGCTCCCTGCGGTCAGCCCTCCCAAGAGGACCTGTCATGTTTCTAAGCTTGGCCACCAGGTGCCCCGGCTGGCCCCAGGACAGTCCTGGCCATTCGCAACCTCTCACGCACCTTCTGCCCCTTTGCCAGAGACCCCTCACCCAGCCAGAAGTGACAGAAAGGAACCGGATGGTTTTGTGCTTATAGCCAGGTGGTCCCAGGCAAGTCCACAATCTCTTAGAGAACTCCTGTTTTCATGACCCTGCTCAAAGGTTTCCCTCTGAAAAGTTTTTCTTGACATACTCCTTTGAGACACCACTAATTGCTTCCTCCTTTCCTTTCTTTGTGTAAGTTCCTGTTGCATTGCTTCCCAAAGGGCATCCTATTTCCTGGTTTTCATGCCATCTTCTCCATTAGGATAATAGCAGCCAGCACTCACAAGAGACTTTGCTGGGTGCCAGGCCCTGTCCCAAACACTTGGCATTTGGTAACTCATTTAATCCCCGCAAGACCTCCCAATGTGATAGGTACTGACATTATCCCTATTTAATTGAGAGAAAGTAGGGAAACATCACTGATGTACAACTAGTCGCTGGCAGAGTTGGGATTTGAACTCAGGAAGCCACGCCCCTTTCTTTGCAGTTTTCAGGAGGGCAGGAGCTCTGTTTTATTAACCCACGTATCTCTTGGGCCTCACATGGTGCTTTGTGCCAAGTTTGAACTGAATAAATGTTTATTGAGTAAATGGGTGGATGGTTTTGCAAAGAAAGAGAGTGGAGGATGATTAGCCTTATCTTACATCCATGCATCCTCCTTCAATCCATTCAGGTATTCAACCATCTATCCATTTATCCACTTGTCCATCCAGTTACTCATCCATCCATCCATCTGTCATCCCTTAATTCATCCATCCATCATCTCTTTGTCTATCCATGCATTCACTCATCTATCCATCCACCACCCATCCATCCAACATCTATCAATCCCTCCATCTATCCGACATCCCTTAATTCATCTATTCATCTATCCATCATCTCTTTGTCTATCCAGGCATTCATTCATCTATCCATCCACCCATCCATCCAAAATCCACCAGTTCCTCCATCTATCCATCTATCCATCCATCCATGTGTTCATCCATCCATCCCTCAATTCATTCATCCACCCATCATCCCTCCATTCATCCATCCACCCATCCCCTCATTCATCCATTCATTATCCCTCCATTCATCATCCCTCCCTCCATCCATCTATCCATCCATCACCCACCCATCCCTCCATCTATCTATCTGTTCCTCCATCCCTCCATCCATCCATCCACCCATTCCCTCATTCATCCACTCATTATCCCTCCATTCATCATCCCCCCTCCATCCATCTATCCATCCATCATCCACCCATCCCTCCATCTATCCTTCTATCCATCTGTAACTCCACCCATCCATCCATCCCTCTCACAGTGATAGAGCACCTACTGTGTGTCAGACACTGCTACATGCTGAGGATAACAAAATCAAATAAAACACCTTCCTGTGTTCAAGGAACTCAGAGTCTTTTTAGGGAGATAACTAAGAGGAATGAAAATACAGTACAGTTTGTTTAGTGCTATGATCAAGGTAGGCACAGGCCCTTCCTTCCATCTGCATAAGACTATACAGTTTACAAAGTGGCTGCTTGGCAAGATTACATCTAATCTTTACAACACCTCTGTGAGGTAGCGAGCACCACCCCGCTTTACAGCTGTGGGAGATGAGATTCAGAAAGGATAAGCCAGTGTTTGGGCCATCCTGGGTCTGCACTGGATTTGTCAGTAATGACTGCCCCACCTACACAGCTTTTTGAAGATAACTGCCCTGCCCCAATCTTGCTGAGGTGCAGGTGTAGCCAGTCATGTTCTGGGACACACAGTTCTCCCGCAAACCTGCTGCCAGTCACAGCCAAGCTGAGAAAGCCAATGTCAGGGCTCCATCTGAATAGTCAGCATCTACTAGCTCTGCCAGTCAGATCCCAGCTTCAGAATGTGAACAGAGATGTTTGGTAAGAATTGGACAAATAATAGGAAATGTAGCTAGAAAAAGAGTTAAATTCAAAGAATCCCCAAACTTGGAGTTCCCCAGTGCAACTTTGGGTCAGAACGCCCTCTGTGTGGGTCTCTAAAGCCTGGCTGGTGACCATTCTAGGATTGCCATGAGCCGCCACTCCCTGGAGGAGCCTTGTGTCTCCATTCAGTGAGTCCTGTGTACTGAGTCGGCTGACTCCTAGCGACCAAAAGGGTCAGAGGCACCGGCTGCACCTCTGGCGCCCCTTCCCTAGTGACCATTCCAGAAGTCAACCCCAAATGCTAGGCCAGCCGACCTCCAAAGGCCCATCTCTTTAGCAGTGGAAGAAGCAGTAACAAAATAAGTAGCTAAAATGCCATGGGGGGCCGGGCGTGGTGGCTCACGCCTGTAATCCCAGCAATTTGGGAGGCTGAGGTGGGTGGATCACAAGGTCAAGAGATCGAGACTATCCTGGCTAACATGTTCAAGCCCTGTCTCTACTAAAAATACAAAAATTAGCTGGGCATGGTGGCACGAACCTGTAGTCCCAGCTACTTGGGAGGCTGAGGCAGGAGAATCACTTGAACCCGGGAGGCAGAGGTTGCAGTGAGCCGAGATCGCTGTACTCCAGCCTGGCAACAGAGCGAGCCTCCATCTCAAAAAGAAAAAAAGAAGCCATGGGGATGCCAAAGGGGATCTCATTCATTCATTCAGTCAGTCAGTCATCTGTTTGTTCCTTTGTTCATTCATTCATTTGAAAGCCCATTACTGAGGCCCCAGTCTGTGCCAGGCCCAGCCTCAGAAGGAAAGACAACTCTGAGAGGGTCTGCCCCGGTCTCAGACTCTCAGCAGTTTGACCCTTACTGCTGGTCACTCGCTGGAGGTGAGTCCAGGGTGTGAGAGAGGAGGGCAGAAAGAAGGAGATGGCATTGAGCTGTGCCACATCTGACCTGGGGCCCCCTGCCTGGTGCGCTGGGGAAGGCCAAGAGGCAGATCTGAGACTCCTGGAGATTGAGACGCAATGTGCGGTTTTCAAATGCTCTCTGGCCTGTGCCCTCCCGAGAGTGTCAGAACACCCCTGAGGGTGCGGGGCAGGGCAGGGCTGATTACTACCCGAATCCCAGCTCTTCTCCCGTCTCTGGCCTCCTGAGTTGTCTGGGGATGGCCTGAGCATTTAAAATCTCATCAACCCATTACTGATGCTGAAATGTTTAATATGAAGCTATCACCCGCTTGGCAAGCGCCCCCATTAACTGGCATGCTCATGGAAACCTGTAGCTTTGAAGTTGATGGACCTTTTAAGTTTTACCATTTAAGCTAATGGGAAGGCACCGACATCTGTTTGTACTCACACATCTCTACAACAGAGCAGCGTTACCTCACAGTTGCTATGGCTACCTGGAGTCACCAGCTCTGTTTGGGGGCTATTATTATCCCTGTGACAGCCTTCATTATGGCCAGGGCAGAGAAGCTGCAGACACATGATAGGAAAGCCAGGCTGCCTTTGTGTGCAAAACTTTCTACAGCCTTACACGCTCATGCTACACACACGCACACACACGCACGAATGCAGGGCACATTAGTCTGATACCCAGTGGGGCAAAACTGGATCCCACCAAGTCAGACCTCCTCTTTTTCCCTTTCATATCACAGGATCCTTTGAATCCAAAACTGAGACTTGTAGAATCATCCTCAAGGCTCCCAATTCTGGAATCTTGAGATCCCAGAATTAAAATTCTAGAGTGTCAAAGTCTTCAACTTTTCAGCACCGGAGAAACTTGGGTTCTAGATTCCAGACTTATAGAGAGCTAGAAGCAGAGAAATCTAGAATTATAGGGCCATAGTATCTTGTGACTAAAAGAGGCCTTCAACGGTATTTTGTCCAATTTCCCACTAAACATAGTTTTCCCTACAGATCATCATCTGGCATCTGCTTGAATACTCCTGGGAGTGGTGAGCTCACTACCTAAAGCTTTAAAAATCCTTTTTTATGTCGAACCAAAAGATGCCTCCATGTCACGTGCACTTCCTTGCGGCAGCTCCGCCTGCTCCTTGGGGATATAGAGGCCCAGCTGAGTCTGCCTCACAAGAGAAGGAGCAGGCTCACCCAAGACTTTTCTTGTCCAGACTGAACATCCCAGGACTTCCACTGAGCACCCTCCCCAGGCAAGGCAAGTCGGGGGCCTCAGTCTGGTGGAGAAAGACGGGCTCTGCCATCTTCGGTCTCCAGCCACTCTCACCTCTGGTCACATGCACACAAAGAGAACGCTATAGCAAAGGGGATTCCAGCACCCACCTGCACAGGTTTGAGCCCCTCAGGCAGCTGTGCACCTGGCCCACAGTTTTTATGGTCAGAAAATCCAATCTAGGTGACCTAGGAATTTGCTAGCCCTTGGACAGCTGACAATTCCCTTTGGTAAATCTGGGCTTAAGACACCACCAAGGGAGATCAAAGATGTGGCAAGAAGGAGAACTCTGGCTCCTCAAAGCCAGGACTCCCCACGATCTTCACTACTCTCTTCCTCCTCCTTCTGGGAACCAGCCTTTGGAGGCCAGTCTGGGCAGTGCCTCCCTCCTGCCAGCAGGCCCTCCCACCCCACCCCCAGCTTAGCTTGTGCCTCCCTGGCAGAGTCTACCCTCCTGGACCAGCGCCAGGCCAGGGCTCAGAGCAGGGCTGAGGCCTGGGAGTTGCAGGACCTGCTCAAGGCCCTTGATGGGGCAGCAGAACCCCCAAGCTTGCTCCAGACTCCCAGGAACCCACCCACCAGGGCTGCTCCTCTCCAGCCCCTCAGCATCCATCATACTGACCACAGCTCCCCTTCTCCCCAGCTGTCCTCGCAGAGCCTCCAGCCAAGCGGCCAGGGCTGGGGGTGGGGAGAGGTGTCTTATAGCAGCCGGGGAGAGGCACAGGGAACTAAAAATACAGTTTACATGGCAAGGCTCCTCCTCTCCCTGCAGGCCCAGAGGGGCTTATTGGAGGAGGGCTGGCAGGGACACAACATCCTAATCCCTTAGTCAACAGGTGTGGCCTGGGACACCGACCTGCCTCCCCCCTCCACCCTCCCCAGCCTTGGAGGCTCCGAGTGGCTCCTCCAGCTCCACCATCCACCTGTCACCTGGACAGAGACCAGCCCCGCCTCCACAGTCACCTAACCCCACATCCACCCATCCTCCCCTTCCTTCAAGGCCCATTGCATAGGAACGGCTCCCCTGCCAGGACTCCTCCCACCCCGCTCTACCCATTCCCAGCAGATGTGCCCTCTTCCCCACTCTGGCTCCAGCATGGGTGCAGCCTTCTCATCTCTCTTGCTTTGGGGTGCACCTGTCTGGACTGGCTTCTCCCCATTTCTACCCTGTGAGTGCCTCAGAGGCAGGAATATAAAAGCCACAAACTCATATTGTACTTAGTGCACACCAGGGACACCCCTCCTCCCAGCAGCCCTTTCTTTTGCAGGAGACACTTTTACAAGCGTCACTTTACACTTGAGAGAACTGAGGCACAGAGAAGTTAAGTAACTTACCCAGAGTCACACAGCGAGGAAATACCAAGCCCAAGATTGGGACCCAGGTAGTCTGGCTTCAGAGTCTCTGCTTCATGGCTAAGAACTGGTCTAATTTGGAGTCCTTCCCCCTCACTCTCTCACCTGCTCTACAGTACCTAGCAAAGGACCAGGCCAACATGCTCTTTGATTGTTTATTTTTGGATTGAGTCTGCCCAGGGTTTTGGCTTGCTGGAGGCAAAGGCAAAGACAGTCGGTGACCTTGCCCCAGGGCTGACAACGGGTGCCCTACTGCCATCTAGTGGCAACAAGGAAAAAAGCCTGCACCTCTGCCCTTCCATCTGGGCTCTCCAGTCCCTCAACCCAGCCAGTGGGGAGGGGTCTTTTTCTGTCTCTATATTCGTTATATTCATGGCGCCTTGCTTAGAAGACCATGGATGGCTTGCCAAATTATTAGAAGATGAATTGTGATCTTTTAATATTGTGATCCAGGAAAAGTGGCATAACTTTCCAAGGGCGCTTTTTTTTAAATCTGTAAAATGGAAATTTTGAAAAGAATAACCTACCTCAAATGTCACTATGAGGACTGAAAAAGGGAGCACTGGCCAGGCGCAGTGGCTCACGCCTGTAATCCCAGCACTTTGGGAGGCTGAGGAGGGAGGATCACTTGAGGTCAGGAGTTCAAGGCCAGCCTGGCCAACATGGTGAAACCCTGTCTCTACTAAAAATACAAAAATTAGCCAGGCATGGTGGTGCACTCCTGTAGTCTCAGCTACTCAGGAGGCTGAGGCTGGAGAATCGCTTGAACCCAGAAGGCAGAAGTTGCAGCGAGCCGAGATCACACCACTGCACTCCAGCTTGGGTGACAGAGTGAGACCCTGTCTCTAAAAATAAATTAAATAAATAAATAAATAAATAAATAAATAAATAAATAAATAAAATTAAGAAAAAGGGAGCACTGAATGTGGTGGATACATAGTGATAAAAGAAAAACTTCAGCCAAATTAAATGTAAAGGAGTTTAACAGAGCAGTGAATGATTTGCGAGCAGGGCAGCCTCCCGAGCCAGAGTAGGTCTGGAGACTCCACAGCTAAATAGTGGAAGATTTATGGACAGAAAAAGGAAAGTGACATACAGAAAACAGAAATGAGGTACAGAAACAGCTGGATTGGTTACAGGTTGGCATCTGGTTTATCTGAACATGGTTCGAACAGTTGGCTGCATTTGATTGGCCAAAATGCGGTGATTGGCACAGTGTAGGCTATAGTCTGTCTATACCTCCACTTGTTATAGTTCATGATGTACAGAAAAACTTTTAGGCCCAACTTAAAATATGTAAGGAGGCGGCTAGAGGTTAAACTTTTTTAACAACAGTAAGTGCTCAATAGTTGCTCACGGTGATATAAGGTATCCATGGTCCTTGCTCTCAAGGGACTCAAAGTCCAGTGGAGGAGATACCTCAGTGGGATCTGGAACGCAGCAGACATTTCAGCAAAGGCTTTGGAAGGGTGAGAAGGCAGTGCCTAGGCCTGGGAGGTGAAGGCCTTTGAGGGATCAATAGGAGTTTGTTCAGAGGTGATGGCTGGCCTGGATGTGAACGTATGAGGGAGCGTTCTGCAGAGTGTTCTAAGCAGAGGTACCAAACAGTGCTGCAAAAGCCTGCCAGAGACGTGTGGGGCAAGTGGGGCTGTGGGAGGTGACACCTACTGGGAAGAACTTTATGTGCCAGGCTCAGGTGATGCCTGAGCAGCGTTTTGAAGGATCAATAGGAGCTTGTTAGGAGCAAAGTGAGGAAGGGATATTCCAAGCACAAGGACCAAGACAAGGACTTGGGGGCTCAGAACGGATAGTCACGTTCCACAGCACTCATGCTCACCTGGTGTGTGCCAGGCTCCGTGCTGGGCTCTGGGGGGACTAAGGTGACACCGGCTGGCCTCCGAGCATTGAGAGGTGGTAGGAGGGAGGGATGTGTGACCTAATGTTGTCAGTACTTTCTGATAAGGGCAATAATCGAGGTCATTCAGCATAGGGCTAAAGGCTTTGGAATGAGACTCCTGGACTCGGCCCTACCATGCACTACTTTTGTGATCCATGAAAAGTATCATAACTTTCCAAGGTCTATGCTTTTGTTATCTATAAAGTGGAGATTTTGAAAAGAATAACCTATCTTAAATATCATTGTAAGGATTAAAAGAGGGAGCACCCAGCATGGTGCCTGATACATAGTAAGTGCTCAATAATTGCACACTGTGATATAAGGTAGAGAGAAATCATGGAGTAGGGAAACATTAATTCCACCAAGGAATTAACATGTAACTGAGAAGGTGATGTCCGAGCAAGGTTTTGAAGGATCAATGGGAGTTTGTTAGGAGCAAAGTGAGGAAAAGACATTCCAAGTACAAGGATCAAAACATTCAAGGACATAGAAGTTGGTGTGTTAGGACTAGGTTTGGTTGTTGGTAACAGAAAACTCAAAATAACATGGCTTCAGCAAGAGAGTATTAATTTCTCTTTCATATAGAAGTCTAGAGGCAGGGGATTCAGAGCTGACATGGCACACCACAGTCTCGGGGACCCAGCTTCAATCTACCTTAGTGCTCTGTCATGTTACACATATGGCCTTCACCTCCTCATCCAAGATGGCTGCTTGAGCTCCAGCCATCGTGCCCTCATTCCAACCAGCAGGAAGGAGAAAGGGGTGAAGAAGGTTGTGCCCCTATCTTAAAGAACACTTTCCAGAAGTTGTAATTAATACTTTATCTTGCTGCGCATCCAATGGCCGTACCTCACTGCAGAGGAGGCTGGGATATGTAGTCTTTATTTCTACATGGCCACATCACCAGATAAAAATTGGAGTTTCTACTACTTAGAAAGAAGTGGGGAAGGTATATTAGATGAAAATGAGCGATTTCTATCATAGGAGACATAAAATAGCATGCTATGCAGGACGCATAAATATTTTGGTGTTTCCGTGGTGGAAAAAGTGAAGGGGAGAGTGATGATTACAGAAATAAACAGAGGCCAGGCATGGACAGCCTTGGGAGCCACAGACGTGGGGGCGTGTCCCCAGGGAGAGCCACAGAAGGGTTTCCGAGCAAGGGAGAGCCATGGTCTGATTTGCTGTCCTAGAAACATCACACTAATTGCAGATGTGATTAACATAATGGAGGGGACACGTCTGGAGCCAGGAGGCATTTCTCCCTAACATTTTATTATAAAAATTTTCATACATGCAGCAAAGTGGGAAGAATCTCACACTGAAAACCACCTAAACTCTACCACTGGCATTTTACTAAATGAATTTAATCATGCTTCTCTCTCCCTCTACGCACCCATCCATTCTTCTTGTTTTGTGGCATTTTAAATTGCAGACATCTATCTGATTCCCTGCAGAAACTCCACAATACATGACATGAACAAGAGTTCAAAATTTCTTTGCATTTTCTGTTTTGCTGTAAGATGTAAAATTTACATTTAATTGCACATGTCTTAAATATACATTTGCTGAGATTTGACAACTACACTCACTTGTGTAGCTCAAACTGTATTAAGTTAGAGAACATTGTCATCACCCAAAGTTCCTGCACGCCCCTCCCCAGTCAATCCTGGCCCCCTCACCTGCCAGAGACAACCACTGTCCTGATTTTTTTTTTTTGAGGCGGAGTCTCAATCTGTCACCCAGGCTGGAGTACAGTGGTGTGATCTTGGCTCACTGCAACCTCTGCCTCCCGGGTTCAAGCAATTCTCCTACCTCAGCCTCCGGAGTAGCTGGGACTACAGACACATACCGCCACACCCAGGCTAATTTTTTATTTTTATTTTTAGTAGAGACGGGGTTTCGCCATGTTGGCCAGACTGGTCTCAAACTCCTGACCTCAGGTGATCCGCCTGCCTCGGCCTCCCAAAGTGCTGGGATTACAGGCATGAGCTACTGTACCTGACCTTACTTCTTTTAAAACCACAGATTGGTTTGGGGAAGGCAGACATTTGAAAGCCTGTTGGGGGGCCATGTACTGAGTGGGGTGGGGTTCGGAGCTGAAGGAGAGGCAGGGCAGAGGGAGACAGGATTTCCAGGGCTTCCCTGCAGGTTGAACTTGGAGGCTGGAGAGAGTCATTTAACCAGAGTGCCCGTCATCTGCTGCCAGGAGTTGAGTTTCTCGCTGAGTGACCGGGCAGATGGTGGCGCCATTTACTAAGGTGGGGTACCCAGGACGAGGACGGGCCGGGGGTGGGTGGAGACCAGTTTCCTTTGGGACACGTAGCATCGGGTGTTCAAGGGGCATGTGCCTGGCAGTTGTAGGGATACACAGCCATCCCCAGGGCAGCTCCTTTCTTCTGACCCCTGTGGAGGTGTGAGCTGTCCTCTGGTGAGGTGGTGCCAGGGAGCGGTCGCCAGGTTTGTCCACCTCCTTCTTGGCCAGCCGGCACCAGCGTGTATCGGGCTCCCTTCACCAGGAAGGGGAGGTGCTCTCCTCGGTCTACCCTGAAGGCTGCACAAGGGGCGTAGAGAGGGCATGGGTGTGGTTACTTCTGGGTGGCAGGACATGGGAAAGGAGACCTTACTCCTTAGGGGAAGCTGGGGAGCTCAGGCGCCCGTCTGGGCAGTCTCCAGGCCAGGTCCTCTCCTTCCTTGTTCCCTCCCCAGCATTCTGCAGCCACACACATTCTCTCTCCCCAGGCACCGCCCATCCCTGTCCCAACACCTCCCACCATTCCCTTGAAAAACAATCAAACCCCAGCTCCCCCAGGAAGGAGGCGTCAGAGTCAGCTCTGCTCCAGGGAGGGCCCCCCAGGGAGGGGGCAGGAGAAGCAGAGAGGGAAAATGAAACCACGGTCACCCTGGGCTGCAATTAGGTTTTCTCTGGTCTCTCTCAAATCAAACACAACCCACAGCAGAGCCATTTCTTCCTTAAAAGCCCATTTGTGGTTCATGCCTGTAATCCCAGCACTTTGGGAGGCCGAGGCGGGTGGATCACGAGGTCAGGAGATTGAAACCATCCTGGCTAACACAGTGAAAACCCATCTCTACTAAAAATACAAAAAAAAAAAAAAAAAAAATTAGCCGGGTGTGGTGGCGGGTGCCTGTAGTCTCAGCTACTTGGGAGGCTGAGGCAGGAGAATTGCTTGAACCTGGAAGGCGGAGGTTGCAGTGAGCCAAGATCACACCACTGCACTCCAGCCTGGGCAAGAAAGCAAGACTCTGTCTCAAAAAAAAAAAAAAAAAAAAAAAAAAGAAAGAAAAAAGAAAAAAAAAAGCCCATTTGGTCCTCAGGAGATATTGCTATTCTTCCCATTAGCGTGAGTTGGACTCATTTCTTGGGAATCAATGCCCCATCCTTATTCTGCTAACACAGGATTGGGTTCCCCTTCCAGAGTTGCATCACAAAACATCCTGAATTTATCTGGCAATTTGGAGAAGCCTCAGTTTACCCCATCGGGCTGAGGGTTACAGTCTAAGCTATAGGAAGTGCCAGCGTAGAGGAGGCAGCAGACGTCACCTGGGGAGGATGTGAGGGAGGAAGAGAAGGACCCTTGCGGGGGTCAGCAGCATTTCAGAATTGGGAAGAAGAAGAGGAGGTGGGGAAGAAAACTTCCTAGAGGGGACGACAGGGTCAGGCCTGCATTTGAAGGGTGGATGAGAAGAAAGCCTCATGGGAGATGAGGAGGACTACTAAGGGCTTCTTATGTACCAGGCTTGGGTGAGGGCAGAAATACAAATATGGCTGCCTACACTGGTGTGTTAGCATACTAGCTGCTGTAACAAACAGCCCCCAAATCTCATGATGTGTCCTTAGCCATGGCTCAAAAGATTTCGTTCTCATTTATCTCCCAGTCCAATGTAAGCTGAGAAGAGGGCTCTCCTGCACCCAGTGATTCAGGCACTCAGGCTCCCTCCCCAAGGACTTCCAAAACCCCCATCCCTCTGCATCCAGCAGGCAAACCGCTGGAGAAAGAAATGAGGGTGGGCTGGGCAAGGTGGCTCACGCCTGAAATCTCAGCACTTTGGGAGGCAGAGGTGGGTGGATCACTGGAAGCCAGGAGTTCGAGACCAACCTGGCCAACATGGTGAAATCCTGTCTCTACTACAAATACAAAAATAAGCCTGACATCATGGTGGGCGCCTGTAATCCCAGCTACTCGGGAGGCTGAGGCAGGAGAATCACCTGAACTCGGGAGGCGGAGGTTGCAGTGAGCCGAGGTCACGCCGCTGTACTCCAGCCTGGGCAACAAGAGTGAAACTCCATCTCCCAAAAAAAAAAAAAAAAAAAGGGTGGAGGATCTTGTAAGGGGTTTTAGGGGGTATGCCTGAAAGTGGTGCTCATTGCTTCTGCCCAAATTCCATCAGCCAGATCACAGCCACAGGCACCGCTTACTTGGAGGGAGTTGTGGGAATGAGGTCTCTCTGTGTGCCCAGGAGGAAATGAAACAGGGTTTGGTGACTGTACGGCATTGCCTGCCCAGTCATGGCCCAAGATAATAATAATAATCTAGTGGAAAGATGAGAAAGGGAAGCTGGGAATAAAATATTTATATAAAGAATGCACCCTAATATTCCACACAGCACATAATAGGTGCTCAATACTTTTTCAAGTGAGTGCTGTATCACCACTGATCAAATACACAGGCGCTGGGGCAGGTTCCAGGGGCTGGGGAGAGGGTTGATGGCACAATAGAGGCATGAAAGGTGGTAAGAGCAAAGTTAGAGAAGCAGGAATGCACGTGGAATGTTCAGAAAACCCAGAGAAGACCAGTTTGGCTGGGTCAGAAGTTTTGTGAAGAGGATGGGTCACGGAGGCAGTTGGAATGTAGGCTTGGAGGGCATGGGGAATGATTTTGAACTTGAAGAATGTTGGCGGCTCTCAGCAGGCCCTGAGGAGTGGCTGTGGTTGTGGGGTGGGGTGGGGGTTCCCAGGCATCCTGGATGAATCATCAGGGTCAGTTAAAATTAGTCACCACGACCCCGCAGGGGAAGCCAAAAGACAGTTGTGTGGCTTATGTGGTAGCTGGGATTTGCCTCGCTGGGGGATCTTTGGCCTTCTTAGTTTGGAGATGGGGGAGCAGAGGAGGGAGAGGAGAGGAGGAGGAAGAGGGGAGGAGGAGGAGGAAGAGGGGAGAAGGAGGAACAGGGGAGGAGGGAAGGAGGCGGAGGGGAAGGAGAAGAGGAGGGGGGGAGGAGGAGGAGGGGAGGAGGAGGGGAGGAGGAGGAGGAGGAGAAGGAGTCCCACTCCACCCTGCCCCCATGATGTGCGAGCACTAAGATGGCCTGGGACAGAACTGGATACGACACAGTTTGGGGAGCTCTTCTGAAGGCTAATAATGGTAAGTTCAAGTACACATAAATGTCTTTCTCTCTCAAGGAACAGTCCCAGGCTTAAAAGCCTTGTGGGGCTGCTCCACCAAGCAGCCCTGGTTCTTCCTGTGGCATTGCTCAGCCCCGACCCACACATCCACATTCCAGCCCCAGCCAGCAAGGAGGACTGGGAAGGGAGGGCACATCCCCTCCTAAGGGAAGGCCCACACTCAGCTCAGTCCTCACTGGCTGGAATGTGGTCACATGGTAAAGCCGGCTGCAAGGGAGGCTGGGAAGCCTCTTTAACTATGTGGCCATGGCACAGCTAAAACTTGGGGATCCTATCATTAAGGGAAGAAAGAGAGAAGGGAGACAGTGTATCTAAGCAGAGAAGCCTGAGCTTTTCCTGCTGGTTCCCCGTGGATTGAGGGTATCGTGCAGGGTCTGACATTCCCGGGTGCTCCGCTGAGGGGAGGTGGAGTTGTGGAGGTGGCTGGTGGTCCCTGGAAAACTGGGAATTGAGACAAAAGAGCTCTGAGCCCAAAGATTCAGCACGTAGACGCAAAAGGTCCTGGCCATGAACTTGACAGCACAAGACCACAGAAGGCCCGGTGGACCAGGTACACCTCAGCAGGCGTCCAGGTCCCCAGAACAAAACAGTCATCCTGGAGCAGAGAGCAGGGACCTGGGGACGCCCCAGCATCTGCACACCTGTCCAAGGGCCCATCTTCCCGCCTTTGCTCTCCTCCCATCTATCCAGCACCATGTTGGAGAGGAGTAGGTGTGGAGGTAGCCAAAGGAGGAAACTGAAATACTGAGTATATACCAGGAAGACTAAGATGCCATTGTTGGCTCATCTAAGTTGCCCCCTGACACGCTGCAGTGAGAGAAGCTTAAAAACAAGAGGCAGTGTCTTACAGTGGTCAAGGGTGTGGATTCCGGAGCTAGACTACCTGCATTTGAATCCTGGTTTCACTGCTTGCTGTGTGACCTTGAGAAAGTTACTTAATCCCTCCGTTCCTCCTTTCTCCATCTGTCAAATAGCAGTAATTAGAACCTGCCTCAGAGGGTGTTGTGAAATCTGAACTACTTATAATACTTAAAACTATACCTCGTACGGAGTAAGCACTCAATACACATGGGCTATTGGTCTCAATTATAGATAATAAAGAAAACACATTTTTAAAACATCTGCGTTGAAATGATTTAAAATTTTACCTGTTACATGATGAGTGAATAAGAGCTGTGAGGCCGGCGAGGGCAGGTACTGTATCTATCTTGCGTTGCCATTGCTCAGTTCAGGGCCAAGTTCATGACAATGCCAGCCTCACCACCACCACTTGGGGCGCCACACCCTAAGCACATACCACTGGCCTGTCTGGGTCCAGTAGCTTTGAGTCCTTTATAAGCAGTGGCTCATTTAGTCCTCATGACCATCTTAACTAGGAGGTACTTGGTAATAATTGCTGAATAAAGGAAATGCCTTCCACCCAGGACAGGTGAATAATGGATGGAAAAGTGCTTTGTAAACTGTAAAGCAGGCTACTTGTGAGGATGCAAACACTTAGGACCCCTTCCCCAAGGGCCTAGGATTCTGTTCTACTTTCGGCTTGGCTGTTACCTTGGGAGGAATGCACCCTGTGTTCTAGAATTTTCCCTCCACATGTCCCTCTTTCAAAATGTAGCTGTCTTGGTGTTCGAGACCAGCCTGGCCAACATGATGAAACCCTGTCTCTACTAAAAATATAAAAATTAGTTGGGGGTGGGCCAGTCACGGTGGCTCATACCGTTAATCCCAGCACTTTGGGAAGCCAAGGCGGGTGGATCACCTGAGGTCAGGAGTTCGAGACCAGCCCAGCCAACTAAAGTAGAGACAGCCCGTCTCTACTAAAAATACAAAAAATTAACTGGGCGTGGTGGCGGCACCTGTAGTCCCAGCCACTCAGGAGGGTGAGGCAGGAGAATCACTTGAACCCAGGAGACAGAGGTTGCAGTGAGCTGAGATGGCGCCATTGCACTCCAGGCTGGGTGACAAGAGTGAAATCCATCTCAAAAAAAAAAAAAAAAAAAAAAATTAGCCAGCCTTGGTGATGCACACCTGTAATCCCAGCACTTTGGGAGGCCGAGGTGGGCGGATCACCTGAGGTCAGGAGTTTGAGACCAGCCTGGCCAACATAATGAAACCCTGTCTCTACTAAAAATACAAAAATTAGCCAGGCGTGGTGGTGCCCACCTGTAGTCTCATCTACTCGGGAGGCTGAGGCAAGAGAATCGTGGAGGCGGAGGTTTCGGTGAGCTGAGATTGTGCCACTGCACTCTAGTCAGGACAACAGAGTGAGACTCGGTCTCAAAAAAAAAAAGTAACTGTCTTGTGTATCATTTTTCCTCACAGTTTGTCTTAGTAGTAACTGAGGGAAATTCACCCTTCTCCCGCCCCTGACCTGAGGAATTTTCTTTCAACAAAGGCCAGGAAAGGCTTGATATTCAGCCCCAGAGGAAGGACCCTTTACTCCTATTCTGCTGTAGACTGGACTCCCTGACACTCTGGCATTATGCCCTGTGGACTCATCTGCTTCCACCCTCCCCAGCTGTGCAAAGCCCATGCACTGAGGGCCTCCCCACGGGGCACCTTCTCCAAGGAGGCTCCCCAAGATCCCCAGCTCCAAGTAGACGTCTCCCTGCAGGCCCCATCCCCTTCTTCCTGGCAGGATACTAACTATGGCCCTTGTCATAGCTCTGTGGGAGGAAACACTGTCTTTATTCATTGATTGATGGATGCAGTAATTCATTCATGAATTCACTCAGCGATACCTATTGAGTACCTCTTCTGTATCAGGCATGACAGCCACAGTGCAAACATAGTGGCCAGCACATAGTAGGGGAACAAACACTGACTGAATTTCAGGTGCCAAAGCCAACATGTGGGGGAGATATTTGGAGACTAGGGGTCTCTTTCTACTCTGCTAATATACACACTGCCTGGGTGGGTGAAAGGCAGTGTTGCTTTTCAGTTTATAATGAAGGAAGGAAGGGAGAAATGAGAGGAGAGGGAGAGAGAGAGAGCGCATGTGTGTGTGTGGGGGGGTGCGTGTGTGCGTGTGTGTGCGTGCATGTGTCTGTGCATGTTTGTGTGCGTGTGTGCATGTGTAAGTGTGTGTGCGTGTGTCCATGTATGTGAGTGTGTGCGTGTGTCAGTGTGTGCGTGTGTCCATGTATGTGAGTGCGTGTGTCAGTGTGTGTGCGTGTGTGAGTGTGTGTGCGTGTGTAAGTGCGTGTGTGCGTGTGTGTTAGTGTGTGTGCATGTGTGCTTGTGTTCACACGTGTGTGCATGTGAGCCCGTGTGTGCAAGAGTGTGTGCGTGTGTGTGTGCGTATGTGTGAGAGTGTGTGTGTGTGCAGTGTGCCTGGACGTGCTTATGTAAGCATGTGCCTGGGATCATGGATGTGTCTCTCTAAGGGTGTGGCGCCCAGATCTTCAAGGATGTGGAGAATCACTCCGTTTGCTGAAGAAGGGAGTACTAGCTACGGGGAAGAAGACAAATACATACACAGCAGGGTGAAAACTTGAACAGGGTTCAGGGCAGGGAGTGGCTGAATCATAGGGTGCAGAGCGGTAAGAGATGGATGGTGATGCTAGACAGGTGGGCAGGATCCAGTTGTAGAAAGCTCTGACATCATGGCCAAATCCTAACCACCCTCTAAGCCCTGACACAAAGGACACGCCCTCCAGGAAGCCCTCTGTTGTTGTCTTTTGTTGTGTCTGTTTCACCAGCACCCTCCCCTTCTTCCCTATTAGGAACTTGCTGCATTTGGCTCGCCCTGCCTCTTGACCACAGTGACTTTGCTTCTGAACTGAAGTTCAGAGATGGACACATGGTCAAGCCAGACAAAGCCGAATCTTCCCTGAGACTTTTCTGATAGAGTTCTTGGAAGGACGTTGCCATGTAGCAAGGATGTGAGTTTGGGATTGCAGGTGGCCCCTGGCCTGAAGAACCAAATCAAACAGAGACAGGGGACAGCCAAGAGGTTCAGCAAGATGGAGCCCTGATGATTTTTTCTAAATCACAGGACCCAGCTCTACCTAAAGCCAACTGCACTCTGGACCTTCCTGCTAAATCATTCGTTCATTCAACAAATAGCTATTGAAGCCAGGCGCAGTGGCTCACACCTGCAATCCTAGCACTTTGGAACGGCGAGGTGGGTGGATCACTTGAGGTCAGGAGTTCGAGAGCAGCCTGGCCAACATGGTGAAACCCCGTCTCTACTAAAAATACAAAAATTAGCTGGAAATCGCTTAAACCCGGGAGGCAGAGGTTGCAGTGAGCCGAGATCATGCCATTGCACTCCAGCCTGGGCAACAGAGCGAGACTCCATCTCAAAAAGACAAACCAAAACAAATAGCTATTGAATGACTACTACATTCATCAGAAATCTCTGGAGAAACAGAACCAATAGGAGAGTTAGGTAGATCGATTTATTATAAGGAATGGCTCACGTGATTGTGGGCTGAGAAGTTCCATAGCCTGCCATTTGCAAGCTGGAGACCCAGGAAAGTCAGTGTTATAATTCAGCCAGAGTCTGAAGGTCTGAGTATCCTGGGAGTAGATGGGGTAAAGCCCAGTCTGAGGACAGAAGACAAATGTTCCAGCTCAGGCAGTGAGGCAGAGAGCAAATTCCCCTTCCTCCACCCTTTTGTGTGATTCAGGTCCTCAGTGATTGGATGATACCTGCTCACGTGGTGGAGACCATCTGCTTTACTCAGTCTACTAATGCAAATGCTAATCTCTTCCAGAAACCTCCTCACAGACACAGCCAGAAATAATGTCCAACAAAATATGTGGGCATCCCAAAGCCCAGTCAAGTTGACACATAAAGTTAAATACCACACCTACTGTGTGCAAGGCACAGTCCTAAATAGTAAAAATACAGCAGTTAAAAAAAAAGTCAAAGATCCAACCAAATGGAGCTTACACAATAGTACGAGGGGATGGATAGAAACACAATAAATAAGATAAATAATAAAAATAGAAAGCATGTTAGATGATAAATCCTATGGAGAAAAATAAAGCAATAAAGTAGAGAAGAAGCATAGAGAATGTTGAGCAGAGAGTGGGAGATTCTTTTTTTTGAGACAGAGTGAAACTCTGTCTCAAAAATGGAATCTCACTCTGTCGCCCAGGCGGGGGTGCAGTGGCATGATCTCGGCTCGCTGCAACCTCTGCATCCTGGGTTCAAGCAATTCTCCTGCCTCAGCCTCCTGATTAGCTAGGACTACAGGCATGCACCACCCCACCTAATTTTTGTATTTTTAGTAGAGATGGGGTTTTGCCATGTTCCCAGGCTGGTCTCAAACTCCTGGCCTCACGTAATCCACCTGCCTTGACCTCCCAAAGTGCTGGGATTACAGGCGTGAGCCCCCACACCCGGCCCTTACTTTTTATTTATTTATTGGAGACAGAATCTCACTCTGTCACCCAGGCTGAATTGTTCAGCAGCACAATCTCTGCTCACTGCAGCCTCAGCCTCCTGGGCTTCAGCAATTTTCCCACCCCAGCCTCCCAAGTAGCTGGGACCACAGGCACATGCCACCATGCCCAGCTAATTTTTGTATTTTTTATAGAGACAGGGTTTCACCATGTTGCCCAGGCTGATTTTTAATTCCTGTGTTCAAGTAATCCAGCTGCCTCAGACTTCTCAAAGCGCTAAGATTACAGGAGTGAGCCACTGCGTCTGGCTTAAAATGTACTTTAAAATTTAATTTAAATGTATTTGATAAAGATTTGATAAAGATTCAGTGAGATAAAGGAAATATTTGATAAAGATTCAAAGAGATAAAGGAGAGAACTACAGAAATACCTTGCGGGGTGGGGGGAAAGCATTTCAACAGAGGGAATAGCAAATATAAAGAAAGGCCCTGACGTAAAAGTATGTCTTACTTATTCAAGGTACAGTCACATTCCATGAGCCAAAAGTGATTTCTGTCACTTGCAATCAAAACATTCCTACCAGCCGGGCATGGTGGCTCATGCCTGTAATCCCAGCACTTTGAGAGGCTGAGGCCGGCAGATGTCCTGAGGTTGGGAGTTCGAGACCAGCCTGACCAACATGGAGAAACCTCATCGCTACTAAAAATACAAAATTAGCCAGGTGTGTGGCGCATGCCTGTAATCCCACCTACTCAGGAAGCTGAGGCAGGAGAATTGCTTGAACCCAGGAGGCAGAGGTTGCAGCGAGCCGAGATCGCACCATTGCACTCCAGCCTGGGCAACAAGAGCGAAACTCCATCTCAAAAAAACACAAAACAACAAAAACAACAAAAACATTCCTACTAATATAGTTTCCCTGATCACCCCTCAAGAAGCAGACCCTCTTCCCTCCCTCCCAGCTGCCTGCTATCTGTGCCCCTGGCCACATTTACTATCAGTGCTTCACACAGCTGCCTTTATTTCAAATCATTTGTTATTGAGAAACATCATTAAACACCTACTATGTGCAGCATGCATGCTCACAGCCTGACATCGATACTGTCTCCCATTTATGAGTGCCATCAGGAAAGTTCAGAAAGGCTCATTTTTCCCAGGGCCACAGTCCCAGCAAAGGGCAGAGTTGGGATGCAAACCCAGGCTTGTCCAAGCCCAAAACCCACATTTGCAGACTTGGCATCCCAGCTCCATCTCAAGTTGAAGACACTGGGCATATGTTCTGGAAGAATGTCAACTTCTCCTTTGGAACTCAGGTGCAATTCAAGCCTGTAAGGAAAGCAATGCTTTCAATAACAAAGCTTCGGCCAAACAGTACAGCAATCGCTTTACACACAGCAGCTCATTTCATTTCATAAAGCCCTTGTAAGGCAAGGTTTGCTATGTGCATTTTCAGGTGAAGAAACGGAGGCTCTGATGACCCTGCTGCAACCTCACCTGACTGGTCTGTGCGGCTCCTTGTTCCCACGGGTTCTTAATCCCCTCCTCTGAGTCCTGCAAAGCACTTTGCATGGGGCTAGGCTTTGCTCTCAGCAGCCCTTGCTCTCACCAGAGCACCCCCCGAGCTGAAATCCCTGAAGCCCAGAAGCCCCTCTGCAGAGCCAATGCAGTCCCTAGAAAAGATGCTGGCTCAGATGGAATCTTAACCCTGGCTCCCTGTCCCAGTGGGAGATCTGAGCTTCCTGGGGGTGGCCCTGTCAGAGCTGACATCCCACCCACCCTGCTCTGTCCCCTGCAGTTCCTGAGGGGCTCATCCTTCCCTATGTTTGAGTTTCCATCCTCCCACCCCACCCTAAGGCAGCCAGGCCACTCCCCGAGACTGGGAGCCCACTCCAGCCTGGGAAGCCTGGGTTTAGGTGCAGAAGGTGCGTCAAGCTGGAGCTGGAAATGCAGTGATCTTGTGCAGGCTTTGGCTTCTCCACTCACTTGTGAGCCTCAGGGTGGGGGCCAAGTTCAGTCTCTTAGTTGCTCCTCTACCCAACAGGAGGCTTCCTGACCTCATCAATGCTCTCAGAGACAGTGCATTAGTTTACCAGGGCCGCTGTAACAAACGACCACAGCTTCGTGACTTAGAACAATAGAGATTTATTCTCTCATAAGTGTGGTGGCCGAAAGCCTGAAATCAAGGTATAGCAGGGTTGGCCCTGCTGGAGGCTCTGAGACAGAATGTGCTCCATTCCTCCTTTAGTGTTTGGTGGCTGCTGACAATTCTTGGCTTGCAGCTGCGTCATTTCAGGCTCTGCCCCCATCTTCACATGGCCCTCCTCCCTGTGTGTCTCTGTGTGCTCTCCTTTTCTGTCTCTTTTAAGGACATTTTCATTGGATTTGTTCTTAAATCAGGGATGATTCCATCTCAAGATCCTTAATTACATCGGCAAAGACCCTGTTTCCAAGTAAACTCACATTCACAGGTGAAGGGGATTAGGACTTGGACATCACGTTTTGGGGTCACTCTTCAACCCACTGTAAATGGGAAAACGCAGGCTCAGAGCAGAATGGATTTGCTCAGGAGCCACGGTACATTTGGGCAGCCGAAGGACTGCCCTGCTCTCCCGACGCTGGACCAGTGCTCTGCCTCCAGCCCCGCACTGCCCCGGGTTTCCAAGACTCTCTGGGAATGTGTTCAGTGAAAAAAACATCTGGAGACTGTCTGTGCTCAAGAGTAACTGGGAATGTCATCATGGGAGGGAGTTTCCTTTCCCGGATGGCTCGGTGCCTGGGGCCCTGGCTGGCGTGCAGGCCTCACTCTGGTGAATAGGCCATGTCACACCCTGATCACAGAGTCGCTGCTCTCGTCCACTGCTCTGCAGAGGCCAGAGTCAGCCCCAGACGCAATGAGAATGGTGAGAGGACTGAGGTCCCCCTGCTCTCTGGGTCACTTTCTTCTCGGGAGATGCTTCCTGCTCTCTTTGGTGAGAACAAGAGAACACTGCACAAAATTTAAACTGATTAATTCTGACTCTAAATCCTTGGCTCTTAGAGACTTCACGGCAGTATGGTTAGGATTCTGGCCTCGGAACCCAGTCTGCCTGGGCTCAGGCCCCAGCTCCGACATTTGCTGAACATTTAGTCTTGGGCACAGTTTTCTTCTCCAAGCCTCACTCCTCTCATCGGTAAAACAGGACAATGGCAGACTGACCTTTTAGAGTTATTAAAAGGATTAACCAGCTGGGCACAGTGGCTCACACCTGTAATCCCAGCACTTTGGGAGGCTGAAGTGGGCAGATCACCTGAGGTTGGGAGTTCAAGACCAGCCTGACCAACATGGAGAAACGCCGTCTCTACTAAAAATACAAAATTAGCCAGGAGTGGTGGTGCATGCCTGTAATCCCAGCTACTGGGGAGGCTGAGGCCAGAGAATCGCTTGAACCCGGGAGGCGGAGGTTGCGGTGAGCCAAGATTGCACCATTGCACTCCAGCCTGGGCAATAAGAGCTAAACTCTGTCTCAAAAAATAAATAAATAAAATACATTTTTTAAAAAAATGATTAACCTGAGCACATATAGCAATGATCGCAGAGCCCATAGTAAGACCAGCAAAGATGGCTACTGCTATTGCACCATTCATTATGAGCCTGAGGTATAAATAAAGGCAAGCATCTCTGTAATCAAGTTCATAGGACTCCCAGCCCTCAGCTTATCCTTGCTAGAAGATTCTCTCTTCTCCCCAGCCATCACGCCAGCGCCATTCAGTCCCAGGGCTTTGCTTTTCTGTGCAAATCAGAATTCATGTCCACACCTTAGGGAATGACTACAGACCATGTCAATATTGGTTTGAAGAACTTCTAAGAGGTGGGGAGGGATAGCATTAGGAGATATACCTAATGTTAAATGATGAGTCAATGGGTGCAGCATACCAACATGGCACATGTATACATATGTAACAAACCTGCACATTGTGCACCTGTACCCTAAAACTTAAAGTATAATAATAATAAAAAAAAAAAGAACTTCTAAGAGAAAGAGGTGGAGAGATCAGCTCATCTGATGTCGTCATCTGCATTCAGTGCTGGTCCGCAATGGGAAACAAAAGAGGTATGTTCTTGCCCTAATAAAATAACCTAAGATTAGCCCATAACACCTATCGCCAAGGACAGATGCCTGTTAGGCCCCTTCTTGTCATGTGTGCTCCCCTCTCCATGGCGCTCTGAGCACAGGTCAGTGGTACAGATCTTTGGGGGACAAGCTGCTTGTAGGGGCTATAGGAGCCTTGTCCATCTCAGCATCGATGCAAGACTCCTGCTCTGGTCATCTACAGGGAAGGAGCGAGGGGACTTATTCCCTCTTTTTTTTTTGTCTTTTCTTTTTTTTTTTTTTTGGAGACGGAGTCTCACTCTGTCGCCCAGGCTGGAGTACAGTGGCACGATCTCAGCTCACTGCAACCTCCGCCTCTCGGGTTCAAGCAATTCTCCTGCCTCAGACTCCTGAGTAGCTGGGATTACAGGTGCCCACCACCACCCCCGGCTAATTTTTGTATTTTTAGTAGAGACGGGGTTTCGCGATGTCGGCCAGGCTGGTCTCGAACTCCTGACCTCAGGTGATCTGCCCTCCTTGGCCTCCCAAAGTGCTGGGATTACAGGTGTGACCCACCGCACCCAGCCGACTTCTTCCCCCTTAATTCAGAAGACTTCCTGGCCTCTCTGCAAATTTGCCTTGTCCTTAGACAGTAACCCTTGAGCTCTGCACAGCACAAGATAAGATAGGAATTTGAGTAGTTCTGTGTCAAGTCAAATACTTGCCTTCTTTCCCATGGGATTTTGGAATCTAAGCTTTAAGAATTTTAGAGACTTAAAGAAAAATAATCTTCACCTTAAATGCAGAAACGTGTGGGACCTCCTGGCAGCCCAGATGTGGCTGTCACCAGGCACTGCCTTGAGCCTAACCCTAACCAGCCCTTCTTCAGGGCCACAGTAGAGTATCCAGGCCCACAGTCAGAAGGAGCTGGCAGCATCCCAGGGCCATAGGGAGACCATCCTGACTGGATGCCAGGCAGCAACAACCAAATAAAACCCCATTTGCTTTGTGGCTTCTGCCCTGGTCCCACAACTTGCCAGTGCTTTCTGGCCCATTTGGCCTCTTCCCGGCTCCACACCTCCTCCATTGTCAGATGCTATGGTTTGCCCTCTTGCCCCAAAAACTGCTTCTCCTAAGGACTGGAGCTTGTGTTCTGTCCTACCTGCTTTGCTCATGGAGGACTGCTCAGTTTAGCTGCCAAGCCCCACCCCTCCACAGGCCCCCACCCTCTCTGGGATTCTGGTGCATGCGATTTTCTCCAACTCATTATATTTGAACCAGACCTACTATGAGCTGTGAAATTTAGGTCCCTCGGAGTCAACAAAGGTTCACTGTGCTAGGTGCTAACTGCCAAGGAGAAAAGATGTAGGTCCTGCTCTGATGTCACCTAGCAATGGGTAGAGAGGTGGGAGAGCTTAAGCTCATTGCCACTGAAGCTAAGTCCCTTAGATAAGGCAGGGGGCCAGGATGAGAGTGAGGGAAGACACTGAGAGCAACAGGAGGCAGCCAAAGGACCAGGCAGATGGGGCAGGTCCTTGGTGAAACCCTACCTTCAAGCCAAAACACAGCCTGAAGGCTGAAAGACCAGACTTCTGGTCCTGGATGAAACCCTCAACCCAGAGTGAGAACATCTGTTCCTGTTTGCCCACCCTTTCCCGATTGATTCTTTCTGAATAATGCTTTGTAGCAGTGGAATGTTGCCTTTTCTAATACTACCTACAGCCTGCCCCTCCCCCATTCTAAGCCTATAAAAGACCAGACTCAGCCACAGTGGAGGAACTTTCCTGCCTTTGGATAGGGGGGCCACCCACGTGTCACCTCTCCACTGAAAGCTGTTTCATCACTCAATAAAACTCCCCACCTTGCTCACTCTTCAATTGTCAGTGTATCCTCACTCTTCTTGGGTGCAGGACAAGAACTCGGGAACTGGTACACAAGCCAGACTCAACCACGGTGGGCCGACTGAGCAGGCCATCTCATGCAGCAGGTAGCATGGCCAAGAGAGGCCCAGGTGGGGCATTGCCGGCCAGAGGTCCCCGGCTTGCAAAGTGACCAAGAAAAAATCCTGTGTCAAAACCAATGTATATTTTTTGTGATTGGCCTTCTTGGGATGCAAGGGGCAGTCTGAAAAAACAATCCACAGGGCTGGGGAGCAAATAAGACTTGGATACAAAGCGACAGAGATGCAAAATACTCTTTGAATCATAGCATCTCAGCAAGAATCACAGAATGGTAGATTCTAAGGGTCATAGGATCACAGCCAAGAAAAGGACCTTGACTTATCCAGGGAGATCCCCTTGTTTTGCAGATGTGAAAATGGAGGCTTAGAGAGGGAGGGGCCCTGGTGTTTCAAGGGGAGCCTGCCCTGTCCCACACTCATTCCTGAAGGCTGAGGCTCCTCCTGCTGGAAGACACTCCCTTCTGGAGCATCATGAGGTCACAGGGGATCCCTGGCTAGCCAGCCAGAGCCCAGCTGCCCACACTTGCAGGGGAAACAGCATGTCCATAGCCACAGTGGGAGCAGAACTAGGTCTGCTGCTCCTCAGTGGCCTGGTGGACTTTCATCCCTGGCCACAGCAAGGCTTCCTGGAGCCACAGATTCAGATGGCCTGTGGACTTTCATCCTTGGCCACAGTGAGGCTTCCTGGAGCATGTCCAGCAGTTCCCTATGTACAGACACAAAGCCTCTGGGGGAGATAACACCATCTTCAGCCCAGCAAAGAGGGAGTCCCGATGGTCGTGGAGGGCAATTGCCAGAGGGGCCCATTCTCTGTGATGCATGTGGAGTGATGGGAAGCCCAAGCCTAGAGAGGTTATAGGAAATCCTAACATGGATTCTTCTAGCTGGAGCAGAGTGGCTGCTAAGCCAGGGTACTCAGGGCACCCAGAGGCTCCCACCTTGGAAGACCAGCTGCCAGGAACATGCCACTTCACAAAACGCTATCGGGGGTCTCTGGGCCACATCAGAGGTAGCCAGCCCTTTAATACCTGACACCCCCTCCCCCAGAGAGGGCATTCGCCAGCTGACTCCTACAGAAGAGCACCCCTTTTATTGGGTACCCTTTTTACCTCCCTCCAACCTCATGGCTCAGTGAGGACTTTCTGGATACTAGAATACTGCTTTTGTTATCGGAGAGGTAATGTAACCTGGACTGAGGGATCAGAGAACCAAATAACCCCAGCCACAGAGACCAGTGGGATATGGAACACAGGTTAACCTAGAGAGACCTTTCCAAAGAATTTTCTTACTGGATCTGGTGGGGAAAATGCTCTTGCATCTCCAATCCAGGAACTAGAAGGACATGAATTGTAATAGACTTGAAATTCTCTTCTTTCTGTTATGGAAAAAGCCCACCTGTAGTGGGACAGAATGAGGCTGGAAGAGAGAGAGAGAAAGAGAGAGAGAGACAGCGAGAGAGCTACAGTGGGGCTCCTGGTCCCTGAACCTGGAGCTGCCTGAAACCTTCTGGGTTTTCCTTTGATTCTGTGAACAGGTCAGTAGCTCTCGAGCATTCTATCTGTGACCCATTTCACAGTGCAATCCATAACACACACACACACACACACACACACGTAAGTGTGTGCATCATCACTATATGGACATAATTTCCATGAAACACTACTTATACCCTTATTATGTATGATATACTCTGATATTTTTTACTTTATCTCATTTCATTTTCTTTCTTTCTGTCTGTCTTTTTTTTTTTTTTTGAGATGGTCTGTCTCCCAGGCTGGAGTGCAGTGGCACAATCTCGATCACAGCTCACTGCAGGCTCAACCTCCTGGGCTCAAGTGATCCTCCCACCTCAGCACCCCCCATCCCCCATCCCCTCAACACACACACCAGTCTCTAGGACCATAGGCGCACCACCACACCCGGCTAATTTTTGCATTTTTTTGTGGAGACAAGGTTTCACCATGTTACCCAAACTGGTCTGACTCCTAGGCTCAGGCAATCCTCCAGCCTCAGCCTCCTAAAATGCTGGGATTACAGGCATGAGCCACCATGTCCAACCTCATTTCCCTTTATTATTTCTTGAGACCCACTAAGCTGATTTCATGACACTGTAAATTGTGACTTGCAGTATAAGAACAACCAAGCTGGATAAATGGCTTCCTTGTTTTTGCTTACACTGCTCCAAGATGATGTGTCACTTGCAACCTGCTAACCAAAATGCCAACTAACCTTGCCTCTTGCACAACCTGTACCTCCTGTTCCAGCCCCTGCCCACCTCCACCCCACCCCTGGCCAGGCTACCACAAGGAGAGCAGTTTGCAAACTCACTGATCATTCAGCCACAGAGCAGAGATGTGGACTTCTGTGATGTGTTTTAGTGCAAAGAACTGGAGGTAGACACATTTGGGTTCTACGCCTAACCCTAGTCATGTCAGACACTGTGATCTTGGATGAGGTCCTTGGACCCATGAACATCAGTCTTGGCAGCTATATATTGGGCTTGTGCTCCCTGCTTCATAGAAGGAGCATATGGATAAAATGCGATGATGAGTGAAATATTCCGAGCACGTGCTCCACATGTAACATTCTGCACATGGAAGTTCCCATCCCTCCAACCCAGGATGCCAGACATCTTCATTTTTAATCCAGGGTAGAAAGAAAGAGACATCCCCTCTCTCGCTCTCTCAGATCTCTCATGAAAGATGAATCCTTGGGGCTGGGCGCGGTGACTCATGCCTGTAATCCCAGCACTTTCGGAGGCCGAGGCGGGTGGATCACCTGAGGTCAGAAGTTCAAGACCAGCCTGGTCAACATGGTGAAACCCCGTCTCTACTAAATATACAAAAAAAATAGCCGGGGGTGGTGGTGGGCGCCTGTAATCCCAGCTACTCAGGAGGCTGAGGCAGGAGAATCGCTTGAACCAGGGAGGCGGATGTTGCACTGAGCCGATATCGTGCCATTGCACTCCAGCCTGGGCAACAAGAGTGAAACGTTGTCTCAAAAAAAAAAAAAAAAAAAAAAAGATGAGTCCTGTGTATACAAAAATGGTAATGATGGCCAGAGCACCTGGTGCGTGCATCAACCTTTACCATTGTCAAGATAACTCATTCCGCTGGGCATGATAGCTAACACCTATAATCCCAGAACTTTGGGAGGCCAAGGCGGGTGAATCACCTGAGGTCAGGAGTTCAAGACCAGCCTGGCCAACATGGCAAAACCCCATCTCTACTGAAAATACAAAAATTAGCCAGGCGTATTAGCACATGCCTGTAATCCCAGCTACTTGGAGACTGAGACAGGAGAATTGCTTGAACCTAGGAGGCAGAGGTTGCAGTGAGCCGAGATCGCACCACTGCACTCCAGCCTGGGCGACAGAGCGAGACTGTCTCAAAAAAACAAAACAAAACAAAAAACAAACGAACAAAAACCTTCCTCACAAGAACCCCGGGAAGGAGATGGGATGGAAGTGGGTGAGGGTTAGTTGCTGTACGCCAAGCAACAAGGGTGTGGCCATGCGAGGCCTGGCCCTTTTGGTGGTCCTGGGTTCAAGTTCAGTGCTCCACTCTCCCCTTGTAATGGCTGCTTCCCTGCTTCGCTCTGGCCTGGGCTCCCAGGATCCTGAAACTGCTTCCAGGCAAAGCAATGGAGGCCACGATAGAACTTTTGCTACATTTGGCAAATTGCAGTCTCAGGGCAGCATTTGCTCAAACTCTAGGCAACCTCCGCCTCCTAGGTTCAAACTCTCCCTAAATGCTGTAGCCAGAGAGAAGAAAAGAAATTTCTAGAATCCAAGAATTTCAGGGTCAAAGTGTGCTTCAAGGCCTTTCCCCCATCCCAGGACGGATGGTCCCTGCCTGTGCCAGGGGCCACTGGGCCGAGGCGTGATGAGCTCTCTGGGAGGCAGACAGCCTGAGCCCAGAGTGGGTTGGTTGTGGCTGCAACACAGAAAACCTGCAGCTCCTCAGAGAGGTGCCAAGGCAAACCAGAACCCAGGTGTCCAGGAGCCAGCAATGCCTGCTGGAAGGGTCACAAAGGACCCTCTTTGTGGGCCAGTGGAACCCCAGAGGGCCAGCACAAGCCCCTGCCCCCAGGTGCCATCTCCGAGGCATGCAAATTTCTTTCTTTTTTTTTTTTTTTTTTTTTGAGACAGGGTCTTGCTCTGTCACCCAGACTGGAGTGCAGTGGTGCAATCTCAGCTCACTGCAGCCTCAATGAGAGGCAAACTTTTCAGAAAACATAAAAAGCCCTGATAGAAAATTTGAACTTAAATTGCCTGAACATTCACCCCCAAATGAGAGACTTTACCCAAAGATGTGTGTGTGTGTGTGTGTGTGTGTGTGTTTGTTTGTTTGTTTTTTTGAGACAGAGTCTCGCTCTGTCGCCCAGGCTGGAGTGCAGTGGCACAATCTCGGCTCACTGCAACCTCCACCTCCCAGGTTCAAGCGATTCTCCTGCCTCAGCCTCCCGAGTAGCTGGGATTACAGGTGCCCGCCACCACACATAGCTAATTTTTGTATTTTTAGTAGAGACAGGGTTTCACCATGTTGGTCAGGCTGGCCTCAAACTCCTGACCTCAAGCGATCCACCTGCCTCAGCCTCCCAAAGTGCTGGCATTACAGGCGTGAGCCACCGCGCCCGGTCCGAGAGTGTGTTTTAAATCACAAGAGACTAAGGGGCCTTCAGGCAAGTTTGTTTCTTTTCAGCAGGTCTTGGGTCCCTTGAGGGAAGGGAAGTGGACTCTAGGAAATTAAGCGACTCCCTACTTTTGTTCATCTGAGCTATAGGGTGGATGTTTTCTGTCCCCTTACATAAGCAGCACTTCCTGCATTTGGCTACAGAACATTTTTCTCACATGGCATCTCTTGGGGCGATTGTTTCACAAGAGCCCTGGTGGTAAACACTGCCCCCATCCAATGGCCGGTCTGGCCCCTGAGACTCCCAGGACCGAGCAGTGACCACAACATCTGGGTCCGTTGCCAGGGAAAACAACAGGCAGGCCTGGGATGGCTCAGCGGCCCCAGCCAGGCAGCCAAGTCCTCCTCAAGGTCAGGCTGTGTTTAGCGTGTTCCCCAAGTGTGGGAGGCCAGGAGCAGGGGTGGGTTGTGGAATCCGGGATGCCACGGTTGGAAAGGCCCCTACAAGACCCAACTCAGCAGCCCTTAACCCCTCATTCCTGCTCGTAGGGCCCAGGGACAGGAGGTGGCCTCTATCACAGCAAAGCCAGGACTGGCTAGGTGGGCCGCACCTTCTGCAAAGCAACAGCCTCCAATGTGGTCTCAGCTAGGGGTGGTGACTGGGGACTTCTGGGCATATAAATACAAACAAACCACATGGCTTCTGATCACAATTTGACACAAATGCTAGAGAGACACAGATCTCAGCCCGTAACCTCACTGTGGGCTCATTCTTGTAGACACAGAGCCTAGGACTGGTTCTTAGCTGTGTAATCACAAACAACCCACAACTTCTAGAAGCCTGGGTTTCCTCTTCCTTAAAGTGGGAGACAGAGTATCACAATCCTATATCTCCAATCCTTGAGGCCAGATGCATGTCAGAGTTCCTGATTTGGGGGATTTTTAGAAAGGTAATGGGGTGCAGGTATCGTGTACTATGTAACCCACGCACCCGCAGCAGCCCTCCTCAGTCAAACATATTAATATTTCTGCAGTGACTGTAAATATTCAAATTAAGCAGGAGACATAAAAACCACAGGTGAATTCATGCCAGATCAGGTCAGGTTTTGCCACTAAATGAATAAATTATCATTTTTTTTTAAGTTTTCATTCTGAGGCCAGGTGCGGTGGCTCACGCCTGTAATCCCAGCACTTTGGGAGGCCTAGATGGATGGATCATTTGAGGTCAGCAGTTTGAGACCAGCCTGGCCAACATGGCAAAACCCCATCTCTACTAAAAATACAAAAATCAGCCGGGCGTGGTGGCAGGTGCCTGTAATCTCAGCTACTAGGGAGGCTGAGACAGGGGAATAGCTTGAACGTAGGAGGCGGAGGTTGCAGTGAGCCGAGATCGTGCCATTGCACTCCAGCCTGGGCAACAGAGCGAGACTTCATCTCAAAAAACAATAATAATAATAATAATAAAATAAAGTTTCCATTTTCAGAGGATTCTGCATTCAGAGTTATTAGCCCTTTAATGCTGTGCACCTCATAGGGTTGTTACCCACATCAGCGTCACGTAAGATGCTGTGGAGGAAAGCAGTTTCAGAACAATCAGTGATGACAGCTACTGTGAATCCACTATTCAACAGGCGCCCCATCGCTTGCTCATGGGCTCCTCACCATAGCTCTAAGCCACAGGAGCTATTTTCATACCCCATATAGGTCCATCCTATAACACAGCCAGGACAGAGACGAGAGACTCAGGCCTCCTGACTTGGATTCTGCTCTTTCACCTCCTTGTTCATCCAATTAGAGAAACTGGCAAAAAGGAAACTGAAAGTGACAGCTGGAGCCCATGATTTCCTGGAAGAGCCCTAGAGCTTTGCTTTTTCTCTCCTGCAGCACTTAACCGAAACCAGTTTTGCAATCAATTCCTGTTCAAAGGCCACCCTACTCTTCCTATCCGTCTTTCTCCAGCCCAGACACTCACAGCCCCCTGCCAGACCAGGGGACCTCGGAGAGGCAAGGACAGAGGTTCAGGATCTTCCTCTCCCTCGGGACCCAAGGCCACAAAGGAGAGCTCCGTGGAGAGAAGGTGAGACGGCGGGCAGAAGTCGGGGGAGGAGGGGGCTGCCGCTCTGGTCCCTGAAGGACAGAGCCCCCAAGGGGTTGGCTTTAGGCACCTGACTCAGGGAAAAGAGCTGCTGTGAAAGCAGCGGGGTTCAAATGCCAGCCAGAGCTTGAGGAGAGTCTGAGGATTAACTTCTCCTGTGTTAATCCTGGTAGGTTTCCCTCCCTTACAGCCATTTCAGGGTTAAATTGAAACATGCTAAAGCATGCGATGTGACTAGCCAAGTTGCATTTGTCCCTCCACTGCTGGGGATCCGAGGGCTTAGGCAGAGGGGACCTGGCCCTTAGAAAGCAGATGATTACATCAGCCACAGGCGTTTCCCTAGAAATTCAGTAGAGGAGTGGTTTAGGGGTGTCATCTCACAAGAAAAAAGGTGCTGGGTGAGTTGTCTAGAAACTGCAAAGCCAACCTACAGAGTTTTCTAGATTGTAGATTTATGTGAAGTTGTTTGGGGAAGAGGGTGAGGGAGTTTGTGATAAATATTAGGGCGACTAGGCCAGGCGCAGTGGCTCATGCCTGTAATCCCAGCATTTTGGGAGGCTAAGGCAAGCGGATTGCTTGAGCCCAAGAGTTTGAGACCAGCATGGGCAACATAGTGAGACCCCGTCTCTACAAAAAATCAAAAAATAGCTGGGCGTGATGGTGCACACCTGTAGTCCCAGCTACTTGGGAGGGTGCTGAGGTGGAAGGATCACTTGAACCCAGGAAGTCAAGAATGCAGTGAGCAGTGATCGCACCACTGCACTCCAGCCTGGGCAACAGAGTGAGACCCGGTCTCAAAAAAAAAAAAAAAAATCTAGGGAGGTTATCTTGAAGCTGTGTTTTCAAAGTAAGCAGATTTTTCTTACTTAGATTGTGTATCTGCAGAAGTTGGTTTTGTGGGGGAAGGCAGGTAAGGAAAGACTGTCATAAATATCCTGTAAGCTTTCAAATGAAAGTAAGTTCTCAAATCCTCTTCCAATAAACCTCTCACAAGCAAATCCTCTCGCAACCACCAAGAGCAGGTCAGAGGGGATGGAATGGGACCTGCTTAGATGAGTTTCCTGCTGTTACCTTTGCCCTGCATCCCATAGGACTAATGTAAAAAAATGAGAGAGGTATTGGCGGACGCTGGTAAAAAATGGGGTTCCAGACCAGAGTCTCTTACCCCCAGCAACCTTGTCATGTTCAACCAGGTGATCCCTGGTTGTGGGGGCTGTCCTCTGCATCGTAGGGTGCTTGGCAGCATCCCTGGCCTCTGCCCTCTACATACCAACAGCAGTACCCTCTCCAGCTGAGACCATCAAAAATGTTTCCAGATATTAGCAGTGTCCCTGAGGAGCAAACACGCCCTGTTTGGGACCAACTACTCCAGACTCTGCGTGGCTGGAATTGCACAGGCTTTCCTGCTTACTGTGTGACACTGGCCTCCCTATGTCTCAGTTTGCACCTCTGTAAAATGGGCATCATCTTAGCACCGATCTCACTGGGTCACTGTGTAAAGCAGGTAGATGTATGTCTGGTGAAAGTAAACTCTTAAAGGTGCCAAGCCCCCTAAACCAAACCTAGCTTCACATACCAAAGAGGGGAGAAGGTTTTTATCTTTGAAGCATTCATTCTTTTTCATAGACTACCCCAAAGAAATAACCAAACATGTAGACAGACGTCTATATAAGGATTTTAACCAAAAATTATAAATACAAAATTTTAAAATAACTGAAAACAACCCAAAGGTTCAACAGTGAGAGAGTTATTGAATGTGTAATGATACATTCGTAAAATGAAATGCGACATGGCTTCTATGTATCGCCTGGGGAACTACTAAGATACAATGTTAGGTGACAAGAATTCACACAAACTACATGAACAGCATGCATTTCCATATGGTGAGCGTAAGGTGGATTTTATAATTTATTTCTAAATTTTCAACCTTAAACTTGTATTCATGGCTATAAGTGAATGAATGAATGAATGGCTATAAATGAATGGCTATAAAAATTTGTGTCCTGGGCTGGGCATGGTGGCTCATGCCTGTAATCCCAGCACTTTGGGAGCCCGAGGTGGGTGGATCACCTGAGGTCAGGAGTTCAAGACCAGCCTGGCCAACCTTGTGAAACCCCATCTCTACTAAAAATACAAAAATTAGCCGGGTGTGTTAGTACGTGCCTGTAATCCCAGCTACTTGGTAGGCTGAAGCAGGAGAATCGCTTGAATCTGGGAGGTGGAGGTTGCAGTGAGCCAAGATCATGCCATTGTACTCCAGCCCGGGCAACAAGAGCAAAATTCAGTCTCAAAAAAAAAAAAAAATTTTTTTAAAAATAAAGAATTTGTGTCCCTTCAGAGTGTGTGAGGGAGGATGTTTTTTTCTAACTTTTTAGAAGTGGAAGGGAAGAGGATGAGAGAAGGGAGGATGAGCTGAGGGAGAAGCTATATCTAGGAAACAGCATTTCTGCCGTAAGCGCTGGACCAAGTACCAAATGTAGAGAAGAGATGCAAAGGAATGTATTGGCTTCCCTAGGGCTGCTGTCAGAAAGCACCACAAACCAGGTGGCTTCAAACAACAGACATTTAGTGTCTCACAGTTCTGGAGGCTGGAAGTCAAAAATCCCAGTGCCAGTAGGGCGCACTTCTGCTGCAGGCTCCAGGGAGACCATCTGTGCCTTTTGCAGCCTCGGTGGCTTCTGACAGCACGACTCTAATTTCTGCCTCTGTCTGCGTGCAGCCTTCTTTGCTGTGTCTCTCTCTGTCACCTCCTCTTCTTATAATGACATCAGTGATGGATTTCAGGGCCACCCTGAATCCAGGATAATTTCACCCGGAGAAATGTATACATGTGCCATGTTGGTGTGCTGCACCCATTAACTCATCATTTAACATTAGGTATAACTCCTAATGCTATCCCTCCCCACTCCCCCCACCCCACAACAGGCCCCGGTGTGTGACGTTCCCCTTCCTGTGTCCATGTGTTCTCATTGTTCAATTCCCACCTAGGAGTGAGAACATGCGGTGTTTGGTTTTTTGTCCTTGCGATAGTTTGCTGAGAATGATGGTTTCCAGCTTCATCCATGTCCCTACAAAGGACACGAACTCATCCTTTTTTATGGCTGCATAGTATTCCATGGTGTATATGTGCCACATTTTCTTAATCCAGTCTAGCATTGTTGGACATTTGGCTTGGTTCCAAGTCTTTGCTATTGTGAATAGTGCCGCAATAAACATATGTGTGCATGTGTTTTTATAGAAGCATGTTTTATAATCCTTTGAGTATATACCCAGTAATGGGATGGCTGGGTCAAATGGTATTTCTAGTTCTAGATCCCTGAGGAATCGCCACACTGACTTCCACAATGGTTGAGCTAGTTTACAGTCCAACCAACAGTGTAAAAGTGTTCCTATTTCTCCACATCCTCTCCAGCACCTGTTGTTTGCTGACTTTTTAATGATCGCCATTCTAACTGGTGTGAGATGGTATCTCATTGTGGTTTTGATTTGCATTTCTCTGATGGCCAGTGATGATGAGCATTTTTTCATGTGTCTTTTGGCTGCATAAATGTCTTGTTTTGAGAAGTGTCTGTTCATATCCTTCGCCCACTTTTTGATGGAGTTGTTTGTTTTTTTCTTGTAAATTTGTTTGAGTTCATGTAGATTCTGGATATTAGCCCTTTGTCAGATGAGTAGATTGCAAAAATTTTCTCCCATTCTGTAGGTTGCCTGTTCGCTCTGATGGTAGTTTCTTTTGCTGTGCAGAAACTCTTTAGTTTAATGAGATCCCTTTGTCAATTTTGGCTTTTGTTGCCGTTGCTTTTGGTGTTTTAGACATGAAGTCCTTGCCCATGCCTATGTCCTGAATGATATTGCCTAGGTTTTCTTCTAGGGTTTTTATGGTTTTAGGTCTAACATTTAAGTCTTTAATCCATCTTGAATTAATTTTTGTATAAGGTGTAAGGAAGGGATCCAGTTTCAGCTTTCTGCGTGTGGCTAGCCAGTTTTCCCAGCACCATTTATTAAACAGGGAATCATTTCCCCATTTCTTGTTTTTGTCAGGTTTGTCAAAGATCAGATAGTTGTAGATATGCGGCATTATTTCTGAGGGCTCTGTTCTGTTCCATTGGTCTATATCTCTGTTTTGGTACCAGTACCATGCTGTTTTGGTTACTGTAGCCTTGTAGTATAGTTTGAAGTCAGGTAGCGTGATGTCTCCAGCTTTGTTCTTTTGGCTTAGGATTGACTTGGCAATGTGGGCTCTTTTTTGGTTCCATATGAACTTTAAAGTAGTTTTTTCCAATTCTGTGAAGAAAGTCATTGGTAGCTTGATGGGGATGGCATTGAATCTATAAATTACCTTGGGCAGTATGGCCATTTTCATGATATTGATTCTTCCTACCCATGAGCATGGAATGTTCTTCCATTTGTTTGTATCCTCTTTTGTTTCATTGAGCAGTGGTTTGTAGTTCTCCTTGAAGAAGTCCTTCACATCCCTTGTAAGTTGGATTCCTAGGTATTTTATTCTCTTTGAAGCAATTGTGAATGGGAGTTCACTCATGATTTGGCTCTCTGTTTGTCTGTTATTGGTGTGTAAGAATGCTTGTGATTTTTGCACATTGATTTTGTATCCCGAGACTTTGCTGAAGTTGCCTATCAGCTTAAGGAGATTTTGGGCTGAGACAATGGGGTTTTCTAGATATACAATCATGTCATCTGCAAACAGGGACAATTTGACTTCCTCTTTTCCTAATTGAATGCCCTTTATTTCTTTCTCCTGCCTGATTGCCCTGGCAAGAACTTCCAACGCTATGTTGAATAGGAGTGGTGAGAGAGGGCATCCCTGTCTTGTGCCAGTTTTCAAAGGGAATGCTTCCAGTTTTTGCCCATTCAGTATGATATTGGCTGTGGGTTTGTCATAGATAGCTCTTATTATTTTGAGATACGTGGCAAGGACCTTCTTGCTGTGTTATCCCATGACAGAAGGCAGAAGGCAGAAGGGCAAGAGGGCGTGTGCGAGAGAGGTGAAGGAAGGAGGCTGAACTCTACTACTACCCTCAATACTCACACCAATTTACCTTCTTCTGGTCACCAAAATATGTGAGTTTTTTTCCCTACACCAAGCAATTCTCCACTTCTTTATGAGAACAAACTTGGCATCCTACAGTTTAACTCAATTCTGACACTATCTCCTTGGAGATACTATCAGATCCCCCAGGTTAAGGGCTCAGTCCCATAAGACTGCCCCTACTTCAGACACCAGTTGTAAGTGGTGGGTCCCCAGGTTGCCCACAACTTTTGTCCAACTTGGTGACACATGGAAGGTTTCCACAACTCCCTCCTCAGTTTCAATAATTTGCTAGAACAGCTTGCAAAACTCAGGGAAACACTTATTTACAATGACTAGTTTATTATAAAGGATCCAACTCAAGAATGGCCAGACGGAATTGATGCACAGGGCAAGATATGGGGGAAGAGACATGGAGTTCCCATGCCCTCTCTGGGCACACCACCCTCCAGGTACCTCCATGTGTTCACCAACCCAGAAGCTCTCTGAACCCTGTCCTTTTGGGTTTCTATGGAGGCTTCCTTACACAGGCATGATGGATTAAAGAAACTATGGGCCATTTGTGGTTAACTCAATCTCCCGTCTCTCTCCTCTCCTGGAACTCAAGGGGTAGGGCTGAATATTCCAACCCTCAAATCACATGGTTGTTTCCCCAGACAAGCAGCCCCCCATCCTTGGAGGCTTTCTAAAGTCACCTCATTAACATAAACTCGGGTGTGGCTAAAAGGGGTCGGTTATGGTTAAGAAAAGATGCTCTTTTCACCTTTACTGCTCTCATCGCTCAGGAAATTCCAAGGGTTTTAAGAGCCCTGTGCCAGAAATGGGGATAAGAACTCTCTCTCTCTCTCTCTCTATATATATATATATGTATATATACACACACACACATACACACACATATATATACACACGTATATGTAATTATATATCTATATATAATTATAAATCACAATATCACAACATATTATGTTCTTGGGAATACAATTTGTACAAAGGGGCCTTGTAAATTACTGCTTTGTTTGGTGAAAATGATCCTTTAATCATTACAGTCTATGTGGTCATAATTGTGAGAGAACAGAATAAGCTACCCCCAGATATGCCTCTTTGGCATAGGGATTATTGAGGCGAAGGCAATTAAGAAGCAGCAGATGCAGGAAGGTTCTCTGTCCTCTCTCTATTTGCCTAAAAGCAAGATCTAAATTTACAAAGGTCTTTCTATCAAGGAGAATAAAGGTTAACCACTGAGAACTTTAGACCCTTATAGGCCTGGAGATGGTACCAGAGGAAGCTGCGTAACAAAACTTACTGACTAGTTTCTTTCTATCCTTCATTTCCTATTTATTTGTCTACCCACAATTTGGTGGCCCTCAAGATGCAAAGTCTTTTTTCTTCATCTTGTCCCTTCTCTAAAATTGTATAGTTCTTTGTTGAAGGTGGCTATATAAGCAGGGAGTTCCAAGCCACTCCTTTGAGAATTATTTATTCCCTGGTGTCTCCTACATACACTTAAGAGGTACATATTAATCCACTCCTGTTTGTTTTTCTCTTATGAATCTGTCTTGGGTTACAAGGATCCTAGCTGAGAACTTAGAAGGGCAGAGGGAAAATTATTTTTTCCTCTCTTATAATATCCATCTAAGGAATCACTTACCCAGGTCAAGATGGAGAAAAGGAGATTTCCTTGTACTTCCTCCTCCCAGTCAATAATCGCACTACCCGAGAAGAAACCTCGATTCTGACTTCTACAACCAATTCATTTGCATATTATTGAGTTTCATATAAATGGAGCCATTTGTTTGATTTCTTTCACTCAATAATAATGTCTGTGAAATTATTCCATGTTGTTTGGGTATCAGTAGTTTTCAAAATTGTTATTGCTATGTAATATTTAACTATATAAAAAAACTATAATTTGTTTGTTTATTCTTCTGTTGATTGATGTATTTGAGTTGTTACCAGCCCTTGGCTATGTATGGGAGGAAAAGTAATTTTTTTCTCAACCCTCATAAGTTCTTAGCTGGAACAGACTCCTGTAACCCAAGACACATTAACGAGAGAAAACCAAGCAGAAGCGTATTAACATGTCTATTTCATATGGACATGGGAGAGATCCAGGGATTAAATAATTCTCAAAGAGGTAGCTTTGAATTCCAGCTTCAATACATCTCCAACAATGAACAGTACATTTTTAGAGAAGTAGCAAGACAATGGAAAAGGGTTTTGAGTCTCCAGCAGGAGCAACTTGTGGGAAAGTAAGTCAATGTCATCTTTGGTGATCAAACTTTATCCTTCTTGTTAGTGAGGAGACAAGGGACAGCTTTACCTTTGTCAATTTATGTCTTGCTTTTAGGCAAATAGAGGGAGGGTGGAGAACTTTTCTTGTACCCACTTCTTCTCAATTACATTTGGCTCAAAATAATCCTTATGCCAAAGTGGCATATTTTGGGATGGTGTATACTGCTACCCTCCAATATAGAGGTAAAAATGTATTGAACTGACTATTTCACTGTATGCATTTATTGTATGTAAGCTACACCTCAACATACAATTTTCAAATAATAGTTTGCAAATATTTAGTATGCTATGTGGTTGTTATTTTGATAGTACATAATCCAAAATCCCTCCACACCTGAATTTCATAAGGTTTCATCATATGTGCAGTAACGTTGTTTTTCTACATTCCTGACCAGAAAATCATTTGACTCCTGGGGACACAGATTTGCTGCCACAGAGGCTGATGGACAACCAGGCGGAGAGAGAAAGTGAGGCTGGTGTTGGTTTGCAAAGGTAATCCAAAGGGTGTAGTCCCCAGGGAGAGGGCTGATTCTGTTGAAATGCTGCAGGCATCCTCACGATAAGGAATACATGTGCTCTGATAGGATTAGCTGTTAAGTGGGCCTTATCTTACCGCTGGTCTCCATTATGCATATGAAAATCTGTTCCCCTAGGGAAAAAAATACTTCATGGAGCTAAAGTAAATATTTTGGAGAGCAAGTCAAGATTAAGTCAGGCGCATGGCTTTGGGCAATAGGACTCCAAAGACAAAAATTGCTCCACTCTGGGGCCTCATCTCTGCAACTGTCTTGAAGACAGGAACTCCATTTCTTCAGCTCATATATCACCAAGGAAGGAAGCCATTTGGTGTTAACAAATTAATGAATTTAAGCCCAGTTGTCTGTAAATCAGCAGACGTAGCACCACCGGCCCCCTGCACAATGTGTGCAAGTAACAAATATTTGCTGAGTGAATTAGACGAACTCTATGTGTAATATGTCATGGAACTGGACTGAAATGTTATCCAATGCCAGTAGACATCACCAGCTGATACAGGATTCACTGGAGCAGAGGTGTTCACATGTGAGACGCTTGGTTTAATTAAGAAACACATGAAGTCAAGCTTCTGTTAGTTATCAACCATGCTAAAACCAAAAACTTTACAGTTCATACACAGTGGCGTTGTTGATCTTTGCAGCTACATATCTATTTGCTGTTTCTTTTTGTCTAGCATACCTTGAGGAAACACAGAGATCAGGGTGGGCTAACCTATGGCATCTTTTATGTCTGGGGTTCTTTGTCAGGGCCACCCCGCTTGCCTTCATCCCACCCCTTCCCCATTGCAAGCCCTGGTGACCTTCTGCTCTGTTAACTGATTTACACCTGTGGATTAATAGATAATTGTGCCTAAATTTATTAATTCATTAACACTTAAAACATATGCTCGATGGTATATTTAGTTTCTAATCTTTCCCACTGAGGAATTGTGTGCGTGTGTGTGTGGAAAGAGAGATTTAAAGATAAATACATTTATGGACATACATATACTTCAATGAGGAGGCCCTGACATCAACTGACAGGTGAGAGGAAAGGCAGAAAGCACCAAGTTTAGGACTCAGAGCCCACCCAATGCTCCATCTTTACCTTGCATGTTCCTTTGGGAGTGTCCTCTTTTCTCTCTGGGCTTGAGGCCCCCCACTGAATCATAAAGGAGGTGGCCCAGATCCTCTCCAGGCCTCCCTCCAGCTCTGATGTTCTTCTTTGGGCCAGGGCATCTGTTATCACCAGGCCTCCTCGGCTCACCCTGAAGGAAATGCACAAATGGCACCTTGCATGAGAAAATGCCCCAAGCAGCAGGCTTTGCTCTCACCCTGATGCAGCTCTGCCTTGAAGGTCAAAGCCAACTGGCCTGGCAAAGATCCCTTCGTACTTCATCCTGTAAAATGTTGGAGGAAGAGGGGCCTAGGTCTCTTTGTCCCAAACTTCTTCCATGAAGGACTAATCCCATCTGCTTGAAGGGTCAAGTAAAGCTGACCAAGAGCAAGGAGAGCATTCAGGACATGAATAATAATTTATCTCAACTCTCAATGTGCAACTCCTGATAGAAGCAAAGACACACCCCAGAGTAACCAGATTCGAGGTCATTAGAGTGGAGGATGTATGATGCAATATGGCCCCCTCCACCCTCCTACTCACTTCTACACATCTGGGACGCTCATCCCCTGCCCACCACCTTGTCTTCTCTTTCTCCTACTTTTCCCAGAACTCTCCCGCCATTGTTCCCAAGTTCTTTATCTTGAGTGGGGTTTTAACATTTCCCCACTGCCCCTCCTCTGCAGCAGTGCTGTGCTTTCTCTGAACAAGGCTGAAAACATACCTCAGGACTTAATTTTCCTTCCCCATTCCTTGACCAAGGCTGGGGTGATTCACATTTGTCCTTCCACATGCCCCTCTTATGTGTTTCTTTTTTCCATGGAACCAGTAGTTTTCAGCGAAGGCTGAACTACTCTACAATGCTCTAGGACTTTTCAGGGGATTTTGTAGGGAGGTACAGGGAGGATTCGAAGCTGAGAGTGGCAAGAATATCCAAGAGCCACATGGGTTTTCCCATCTGGGAAGCTGAAGCAAAATCTTTATTTCATTTCTCCTCAGGGATGAGGATGACGCTCCTCTGTGTGAAGACGTGGAGCTACAAGACGGAGATCTGTCCCCCGAAGAAAAAATATTTTTGAGAGAATTTCCCAGATTGAAAGAAGATCTGAAAGGGAACATTGACAAGCTCCGTGCCCTCGCAGACGATATTGACAAAACCCACAAGAAATTCACCAAGGCTAACATGGTGGCCACCTCTACTGCTGTCATCTCTGGAGTGATGAGCCTCCTGGGTTTAGCCCTTGCCCCAGCAACAGGAGGAGGAAGCCTGCTGCTCTCCACCGCTGGTCAAGGTTTGGCAACAGCAGCTGGGGTCACCAGCATCGTGAGTGGTACGTTGGAACGCTCCAAAAATAAAGAAGCCCAAGCACGGGCGGAAGACATACTGCCCACCTACGACCAAGAGGACAGGGAGGATGAGGAAGAGAAGGCAGACTATGTCACAGCTGCTGGAAAGATTATCTATAATCTTAGAAACACCTTGAAGTATGCCAAGAAAAACGTCCGTGCATTTTGGAAACTCAGAGCCAACCCACGCTTGGCCAATGCTACCAAGCGTCTTCTGACCACTGGCCAAGTCTCCTCCCGGAGCCGCGTGCAGGTGCAAAAGGCCTTTGCGGGAACAACACTGGCGATGACCAAAAATGCTCGCGTGCTGGGAGGTGTGATGTCCGCCTTCTCCCTTGGCTATGACTTGGCCACTCTCTCAAAGGAATGGAAGCACCTGAAGGAAGGAGCAAGGACAAAGTTTGCGGAAGAGTTGAGAGCCAAGGCCTTGGAGCTGGAGAGGAAACTCACAGAACTCACCCAGCTCTACAAGAGCTTGCAGCAGAAAGTGAGGTCAAGGGCCAGAGGGGTGGGGAAGGATTTAACTGGGACCTGCGAAACCGAGGCTTACTGGAAGGAGTTAAGGGAGCATGTGTGGATGTGGCTGTGGCTGTGTGTGTGTCTGTGTGTCTGTGTGTATGTACAGTTTACATGAATGTTCCTCAGGACATGGCATACAATGGCCTTGGAGGTCCAAATAATATCAAGTACATCTTGGAGATGAGGGTGCCTGTCCTGGACAGACCTCGGCATGCCTTCTGTTTCTCCTTCAATGCTCCTTAAGGCCTATGTGCTGGGAAAAGGGTCTTCCCTGTTTGTTTGTTTGTTTGTTTGTTTGTTTGTTTTGAGACAGGGTCTCTGTTGCCCAGGCTGGAGTGCAGTGGCGTAATCTCGGCTCACTGCAACCTCTGCCTCCTGAGTGCAAGCAAGTCTCCTGCCTCAGCCTCCCAAGTAGCTGGGATTACAGGCACGCACCACCACGCCCAGCTAATTTTGGTATTTTTTTGTAGAGACAGGGTTTCACCATTTTGGCCAGGCTGGTCTCGAATTCCTGACCTCAAGTGATCCACCCACCTTGGCCTCCCAAAATGCTGGGATTACAAGCGTGAGCTACCCTGCCCAGCCGGGTCTTCCCAGTTTTAACAAAGAGGTCACAGAGCCACAGGCGGAGTTAGGAACTAAATTGTCTCCTCCTCCCAATTCATATGTTGAAGTCCTAAACCAAAATGTGGCTGTATTTAGAGATGGACCCTTTGGGAGGTAATTAGGGTTGACTGAGGCCATAGGGTGAGGTCCTAACCCGATGGAATTGACTTCTTTATAAGAGGAGGAGGAAATACAAGAGGGCCTCCCCACCCCTGCTGCACACCTACACTGAAGGAAGGCTATTTGCAGATGCAGCAAGAAGGCAGCCATCTGCAAGGCAGAAGAAGAGAGCCCTCACCAGGAACTGAATAAGTCAGTCAGTCTGGGACTTCCAGCCTCTAGAACTGTGAAACAATAAATTTCTGTGGTGTAAGCAACTCAATCTATAGTAGTTTGTTACTATTTTGTTATAGCAACCAAAGATGACTAAGCCAGACAGGTTATGTCACTCGCCAAGTGTCTTAGTCTGTTTGTGCTGCTATAACAAAATACCTTAGACTGGGTAATTTACAAACAACAGAGATGTATCCAGAGATCCACAGTTCTGGAGGCTGAGAAGTCTAAAATCAAGGCACCAGCAGATTCCACATCTCGTGAAGGCTCACTCTCTGCTTCACAGATGGCACTGTCTTGCTGTGTTCTCACATGGCAGAAGGGGCAAACAAGCCCCCCTGGGCCTCTTTTATAAAGGCACTAACTCTATGCCTAAAGGCAGGGCCCTCATGACTCTATCACCTACCAAAAGGCTCCACTTCTTTATACTATTGGAGGGGTAGAAGGAACTTCCTTTCTAGACCTTGAAGGTTTAAGAATTTGAATCTATAAAACAAGCTGACAATAGACAGATTAACAGGAGAAAAAGCATATACATTTTTTAATGTGGGCCAGATGGCAGAAGCTTAAATAACACCCCAAGCTACAGGAAGTGAGGCCTCTGATGGGGAGGTAGTGACACAGGCTGTGGGAGGGGGTAGGGGGAGGAAGTCTGTGGTGAGCAAAGTTTGCCTTATTACACTGATAAAGTGTAATTACACTAATAAAGCTGGATCACCTGAGGTTAGGAGTTTGAGAACAGCCTGGCCAACATGGCAAAACCCTGTCTCTACTATAAATACAAAAATTAGCCAGGTGTAGTGGCAGGGCACTTGTAATCCTATCTACTCGGGAGGCTGAGGCAGGAGAATCGCTTGAACCCAGGCTGTAAAGGTTGCAGTGAGCCAAGATCATGCCACTGCACTCCAGTCTGGGTGTCAGAATGAGACCCCATCTCAAAAAAAAAAAAAAAAAAAAAAAAGAAGAAGAATACAGTCATGTATCTCTTGGTGACAGGGACGCATTCTGATAAATGTGTCATTAGGCAATTGCATTGTAGTGTGATTATCACAGATTGTACTTATACAAAACTTAGATGGCATAGCCTACTGCATACCTAGGCTATATGGGAGAGCCTATTGCTCCCAGGCTACGCACCTGTACAGCATGTGACTACTGAATACTATAGGCAATTGCAGCACAATGGGAAATATTTGTGTATCTAAACATATGTAAACAGAGAAAAAGGAAAGTAAAAATATGGCATAAAAGATAAGAATTGGCTCTCCTGTACAGGGCACTTACTACGAATGGAGCTTGCAGGGCTGAGAGTTGCTCCAGATGAGTCAGTGAGTGGTGAATGAATGTGAAGGCCTAGGGCATTACTGTATACTACTGTAGGCTTTATAAACACAGCACACTTAGGGTACACAAAATGCATATTAAAACATTTTCTTCCTTCAGTATATTAGGCAATAGGAATTTTTCAAGTCCACTATAAATCTTATCAAACCATGGTTGTATATGCAGTTGACCGAAACATTGTTATTGGACACATAACTATAGTTGAAAGAATAAGCAAAAAGTCTATCTAGGTGTGCTGTCTTGAGCAACTTTTAATTATTCTCCTGTCCTGCAATATGAGTTAATCTTCTCTGATCGATGTAGATTCCAGGAAGGGGTGTCCAGGACAATTACCTTCCTTCTGGAGAAACTTCCCTTAATCAAATAAGAGAACTTCAAAGAAAATCCCTCCCTGTGCTTTGGAAGGGAAGGGAGGTGGGCAGCAGTGGGTCAGAGATAGACCTTTGTTCTCTTATTTCTGAGGCCCTTCAGTCTCCTTTATTCAAAGCACTCAGCATGCCAAAGCACCCTATTTTAGGGTATCTTTTTCTGAGCCCTAAACACTGTGTTGGGGATGTCAACTGTGACAGGAAAATATCTTGGGGCCCCAGAATCACTAAGGAAAACTCAAGCTTAGGGAAACTTCTTAGGGCAAACCCACCTCCCACTCTATTCAAAGTTATCTCTCTGCTCACTGAGATAGATACATATCTGATTGCCTCCTTTGGAAAGGCTAATCAGAAACTCAAAAGAATGCAACTGTTTGTGTCTCACCTATCTGTGACCTGGAAGCTCCCTCCCCACTGAACCAATGTTCTTCTTACATATATTGATTAATGTCTTATGTCTCCCTAAAATGTATAAAACCAAGGTATGCCCCAACCATCTTGGCCACATGTCATCAGGACTTCCTGAGTCTGTGTCACAGTGTGTCCTCAACCTTGGCAAAATAAACTTTCTAAATTAACTGAGACCTGTCTCGGATTTTCTGGGTTCACATTTTGGAAACCATGAATGGATTCTGGGTGGAGATGCCCCTGACCCTTGACAAATCTATCGGTGCTTGGTACCAGCATGAGCTAACTTTATGGCTCAAACCAATAGGACAATTTGCTGAGGTCTGAGAGGACTCCCTCCAGAAAATCCCTGATCTCTTAAAATTTGGTAGAGATCGGAAGTTTATTTTGCTGTACAACACCTCTTTTTTTGGAGTTTTACTTGCTCCCAACAAGGAAGGCAAGTTTTCCTGCTTTCATGATGATGGAAGGCAGGTGATGTTTTTATGGAGTTTCAGCTTTCTTCCAATGCACTTAGAGCACTCAGAAATTGTATAATTTGTGTGACCATTGTTAGTTTTGCTTAACTGTTTTGTTGTTTGTTTCTGTCTTAGTCAAATCTGAAGGGGAACCCTAAATTACGGGGTCAAGGACTCTGAAGTGGTAGGAAAACAGCCAGCTTAAAAAACTTTTTTTAAATTTTAATTACTATAGGGGCTTTATTTACATAACACAGCCAGCTTTTTGCTAGCCAGACCAAACTCAAAGAGCAATGGCTGTACTTCTGAAATAGCAACACTTTGTCCTAGCTGAGATTTGGTAATAAGATTTTTTTTTTAAGTTTTTAAAGAAGCTCAGTGGTTGAAAGTCTGCTTAACTGAAACAGTAACATCCATGATGTGTGTTTTGTGCATGTTTGTATTTGAAAGGCCTTCATGTTTTTGTTTCTTGTTTGTTTTTCTCTCCTAAGACCTTGTCTTTTTTTTGTAGCAAAAGTTTTTTTTTTTTTTTTCCTTTTACTTCTCAGTTGACTGAATTCTGTTTTCACCGGATTTTTTGACTAAAATAGCTATTGCAACAGAGGCTACTCTTGGGTTAAGGAAGAATGTAGTTTCGTTTTATGTTTAATATCGCTCAAAGAAAAATAAAAGCATCTCCCTCTAACACCACCAGACTTTTCCTCTCTGTACCTTATCATGTAAATTTTGCTATTTGATTTTCACCTGGGTTGTTTCCTTTAATGTGCAAAAATTTAAGGCTATTTAGCTGACAACTGCCTAGGGTTGTAAAACAGGTTATCAAGAATCTGAAAGTCTAAGATAGGAAAAAAAAGTGGGGGGGCATTATAAATCTATAAAATGTACTTCTATTGGCATGCCTAATACGTCTTTATATGTATGTATGTGTTGTGTACACGATGTTTTAGTGCTAAAAATATGTAAAAGAGCTCTACTTGGCTTAAAGAAAAATAAAAGTGCTTAAATCAGATACTAAAAAAGAAAAGGCTAGTCAAATGCTTTTTCAAATTTATGTAACTTAAGTAAAATCTTTAATAAATAAAGTAGCTTTAAAATTATTGGTAAAGTAGTATTAGAAATGTCTTAAGAATTGCCAGCATACATTTTTGTTTGCATTATATTAATCAAACAGTTTTATACTTATCCCTGCCAAATACCAGAAGGTGTCAAAATTTGGCATAGGGGTTATAAAACTATAAACCCAGCCCAAAACAGAATGATCTTTGCTTGTGTAATTTTTAATAAATAAGACATTGATATGGGTTTAATGAAAACAGCTGCATCTTGAATTTAGTAAGATTACCATAACTTCTAATCCTGTGGCTTTAGGCAGTTTAGTCCACAGACAATAAGGAGGTTTGTTTTGGGAAAGGACTGTTATTGTCATTGTTTCGAAGCTGAACTTAAACTAGGTTCCTCCCAAAGTTCATTCGGCCTATGCCCAGGAATGAACAAGGACAGCTTGGAAGTTAAGAGCAAGGTGGAGTCAGTTAGGTCAAATCGTTTTTCACTGTCTCAGTTGTAATTTTGCAATGGAAGTTTCATAACTTTAAATCATGACTATCACAGTTTTTATAAATAATCTAGGTAAACAATTAATAAAATAACTAGGTAAATGTAATGGGATAAATACTTATAGACCAACTGGACATAATTTAGAATATAAAGTCATATTAAATTAAATAATAGATAATTTATTATTTGGGTATTTTCCAATAAATATATCTTGTAGGAAAACATTGTTGCTTAAAAAAAAGTGTGTCCTTTTTTAAAAAAATGGTGAACAAGTTTTGTCTAATTCAAAGCTTATTAAAAGGTTATATATAAAACAAGGTAAAAGGAACCAGAAAAGAAAAAAAATGTAAATAAAGTTATAAAAATAAAGAATTTTTTCAAGGTTAAAAAGCTGAAAAAGAAATAATTTTATATAAGAAAGAATTTTATATGGTAAATTTAGTCCTAAAATAAAATAACTGGTTGTTTAACAAGGAGGGATGTTCAGGACAAACCAGAAAGTCCAAGCATGTCATGAACATTGGTGTAAGTCATGATAAGATTTTATATATATATATACACACACACACACACACCCCAAAAGCTTTTATATAATCAAGTTGTCATATTATTATTAAGTTTTGGTTTGCTTAGGGAAGAAAGAGCTAATTTTTAAAAAATCAAGGTTATTACATCCATGTATCTTCCTGTGTATGCTTTTAAAGTCCTTGTAACATTGAGTTACAGGGCTTTAACTCCTGTGTCTGAAAAATCACAAACACTGATGACAATCAAAGCCTCATCTTAAGGCCCCGTAGAAGATGCCAATCAAAATAAACTGCATTCCTGAGGCACTAGGCAAGAAATTAAAGCTATTCAACTCCTCAAGGCCCAGGGACTATTGCGGAAGAGGTGGGCGCGTAAGATTGTAAGGGCCGATTTTGAAAGATCCAGTAAGTTCAGTTTCTCTATGAACTAATCATTCAAGTCAAAGGCACACTGATGCAAAATCAGTATATGGACCCCTGTGTCTGATTAGCAAGGTTTTCTTGAAGCATTAACCAACTCCTTCATAAAGGTTATAAAAGGCTTATGGAAGTTATATTTTATAATCAAGATTAAATCTTATAGTTTGTTTACAAAATTTTGAAAATCAAATGTGATTGGCTTCAGGCTGTTTTTATTAGGGCTTCTTGTTTAGAAAGTTAAGTCACCTCTCTCAAAGAATGAAGGTTTTTGCTTTTTTTGAAATCCTTGAATTATCACTTGGATTAAATAAATGACTTTACGATGACCTGTAATTTTATTTTGTAATGTCAAGTGTTTTAAACCTTTTGTATTTGACAAGCTTTCCAAAATCAAATTATAAATTATGTATTTTTCTAACCTAATTAATCCTTTAAGATCTTAGTTTCCCTAAAGTCCTAAAATGACATAATTTGGCTTATTTGGTATAAAAATTATATAGGAAGCATTGTCAAATGTGAAATGGTGTTTGGTTTTCTTTGGGCTGTATTTGTATAAATATGTTATTGGTGTATGTTCCAAAATTATGTGAAACTCCTATAATTCTAATATAACTTAGTGTACATTATCAGTAATAATCATAATTGTTATATTAAAATTATTGTGTGCCACAGAGGTAAAAAATTTCCTTGTCAGTTTTGTCTTTTGACTATGGCTGCCTTAAAACTTTTTTCTTCCATGCACAATTGTTGTTTTGGTCCTCTTTTTTAAATATATTTTTATTATTATTTTTGAGATGGGGACTCACTCTGTTGCCCAGGCTGGAGTGCAGCGGCACGATCTTGGCTCACTGCAACTGCCACCTCCCAGGTTCAAGCGGTTCTCCTGCCTCAGCCTCCCGAGTAGCTGGGATTACAGGCATACACCACCATGCCCAGCTAATTTTTTTGTATTTTCAGTAGAGATGGGGTTTCACCATGTTGGCCAGGCTGGTCTTGAACTCCTGACCTCAGGTGATCAGCCCACCTTGGCCTCTCAAAGTGCTGAAATTACAGATGTGAGCCACACACCTGGCCTATTTTGGTCCTCTTTAGAAGGTGGTTTTATAATCAGCTGTAAAACTCCAACAGGTGCTCTTACATGCAGGTTTCTGATAACTTTGGAGATTGTGACATCAGAATAGAGGGAAAAGTTTCAGGACTCATGGAGAGCTAAAATGTTCATGAGTATCAAGCAGAACAGGAATTAACTGCATAGACTGAACCAATCTTTTTGACTTTTTGCTTAAAATGTTTGCTGATCCTTTGTTTTGTGTTTCAGTCTTAAAACTTTTCTTTTGAGCTATTGACAGCTTTTAACAATTTAGTATACTCCTATGACAAAATTTGGAGCATATTTGTTTCTCTCTACCTGATTTCTCCAGAATTCAGAAACTATTTGTAAGTATTCTTAACTTATGGTGATACAGTTATTTGCATAAGTGCAATAAGAATCTGTTCTAATTTGTAACAGGACACGATTGGAGAAATTGGTTGTTTTACTAAGACTTTGACTGGAATGGTGTGCTTTTCTTTAAGGAATCAAACTTGACTTATGGAACCAATAAAGTCCTTGGAAAAACTGGCCCCATATTTTGTGTACACAGTCTCCGTACAAGATTTCTGACCTGTAGTAAGTAAAGAATGTCACTTTCTGACAGGCACATAAGCCCCAGGTTTACCTCAGAACCTCAAGAGGAGAGGAAATTCACCCAATTTATAAGTATTTGATGGCACAAATCCATGGCTGGGCATGGCTTTAAGAAAGTCTTATCTGAGATTCCTCCTGTGGAACAAAGTTAATTGGTTCCAGAGATTCAAAGCCAGAGTTGCTGTCAGTTCATTGGTAGAGATGCCATCACTGGGCAAGTGTTCTGAAAACATCTTATCTGAATAACAGCAGTCCTGGAGAACATCTAGGGATCTAGCAAAGCGAGAGATACATGAAGGACATAAAAACGTTTTTAGAAAGTCCTTGGAAACAGTTCTCATTTCAGACATGTAAGCATGAGCTAGGATGAAAAGTGATTTCATCCTGGTATCTGCAATTTTCACATTCATTAGGTTTCAACATATAAACTTTCAGGGGACACAGACATTCAGACTATAGCACCAAGCTGTAGAAGCTACATAGTTGTAGACCAGGGTCAGCAACCCAAGAAGCCTGACTTCCAAGCTGTGCTTTTAACTTCCCCACCATGTTGCACCTAAAGCTTTGGAGTTTTCCTGTGATTAGTGTTTTTGGTGTTGTTTTATTTTTTTTCTTACAGGAACTCTTGCAAGAAGAAAGGACTATGAGTTCAACTTTAGAGGGAGCCATGGGGACTAAACAAAATTCTGAGGCCCCCTCAACCATCTAAATGGACTTCCTTCTGGGCCAGGACACTCGAAAATTAAACCTGAAAGACTGGTTCAGGCCATGATGGGAAGTGGGAGTCGAACATGCCTCATCATACCCTCCAGCATTAACATCAACACAGACCTTAAGGCTGATAAGAAGCATTTACAATCTATTCTCTCTGAAGTCTTCTACCTGGAGGCTTCATCTGCATGATAAAACTTTGGTCTCCACAACCTCTTACAACCCAGGCATTCCTTTCTATCGATAATTACTCTTTCAACCAATTGCCAATCAGAAAATTGTTATATCTACCTATAATCTAGAAGCCCCCACATCAAGTTGTTTTGCCTTTCTGGACAGGACCAATGTATATCTTAAATGTATTTGATTGATCTCTCATGTCTCCCTAAAATGTATAAAACCACGCTGTTCCCCGACCACCTGGAGCACATGTTCTCAGGGTCTCCTGAGGGCTGTGTCACAGGCCATGTTCACTTACATTTGGCTCAGAATAAATCTCTTCAAATATTTTACAGAGTTTAACTCTTTTTGTCAACACAAAGGTGGGCTTTTAACTACCCCAGGGGCCTCTGAATGGGGTTACAGGGGACCAGGGCAGGGCTGGCAAGGCTGGCAGAGGAGAAACCCAGAGACTTACCAAATGGGAGGTCCAAGTAGGTCCCTTAGACTTGGGAGGGACAAGTCTACCTAAGAGGGCACTAGCAGCCCTCACTAGTGAGTGTTGTAATGGTCCTCCTGCCCCCCATCTCCATCCTCATTCCTTCGCTGTAACTCAGTCTCTCTGCTGTTTCAGTTCCCCGTTTGTCAGAGGCGTTTGAACCAGAGCAACTCCATCTTGAATAGGGGCTGGGTAAAATAAGGCTGAGACCTCCTGGGCTGCATTCCCAGGAGGTTAAGGCGTTCTAAGCCACAGGATGAGATAGGAGGTCAGCAAAATACAGATAATAAAGACCTTACTGATAAAATAGGTTGCAATAAAGAAGCTGGCTAAAACCCACCAAAACTGAGATGACGATAAGAGTGACCTCTGTTTATCCTCACTGCTACACTACCATTAGAGCCATGACAGTTTACGATGCCATGGCAATGTCAAGAAGTCATCCTATATGGTCTCAAAAGGGGAGGCATGAATAATCCACCCCTTGTTTGGCATATAATCAAGAAATAACCATAAAAATGGGCAACCGGTAGCCCTCAGGGATGCTCTATGGAGTAGACATTCTTTTATTCCTCTACTTTCTTAATAAACTTGCTTTTGCTTTACGTACTTGCCCTGAATTCTTTCTTGTGCGAGATCCAAAAACCCTTTCTTGGGGTCTGGATTGGGACCCCTTTCCTGTAACATCTTTCTGGCAACCACAGAAGGGACTACAGTGCAGAAACCCTCAACCCAAAGGCTAACTTTGAGTAAGTGATAGGGTCCTGTAACATCTTTCTGGCAAACCCAAAAGGACAATACTGAAGAAACCTCCCAATGCAAAGGAAATAGACTACATCATTGATAGGCCGACCTTGGGCAAGTGGTGGGGTACCCAGGTAAAAGATGGGATTGGGTTAGAGGCCCAATTTAGGGAAGTTTGGGTCTCTGCTAAGACAGACTGGGTTAAAGGCCCCTCTTAATAAATGGCAAGGATGCTTGACCAAACTTGGTTTAGAGGGCCAACTTAGGAGGGTTAGAGTCCTTCCTAAGATTTAAGGGGTTAGAGGCCCCTCTCAGTAAAGTCCCTCATGGTTAAGAACGGGTTTGGCACTAAGGGATGTTAACTGCCATTCTCTTTGGATTAATCTGTGTTGCACTCTTTGCTGATGGCTATGGGTGACAGGATTAGGCATGTGATCCTGTGATCACGGGACATGAGGAGCTTTTTCTTCCCTAAAAGGGGAAACTTCAGAGCTGCTGGGCCTGCTGGAAAAGATCCCTTCTCAACTGACAAGTGACCGCCTGAACTTTTGATTCAGTGTCTGCTGCAATGGGCAGGTCTTTCTCTGGTCTCCCTGAGCGCCTTGCCTTCCCCACCCTGCCATAAGCAGTGCTTTTCTCCCTTCCCTTTCCTCTCTCTCTCTGTGCAAACTGGTCGAAGGAATGGTAAAAATCACTGTTTATCTCCTATAAACTTTTGATTAATGGGAGAAAGGATTCACGAGGCTAATCTTAAGCTGTAGTGAATCTGGCGTGTTTTGTGTGTCTTTCTATATTGTTCTGTCACCAAGAGGGGTACCTTAGGATAAAACATGGGCTTAGGACACCTGTAAGCCCATTTTCAGATGGCCCAGCAAACTGGAAAGTTACAAACTTTTCTGCAGGTCCCTGAAAAAAATTGAATGAGGTTTCCTTCTTGTCTTGTATGTCCTTGGGAACTTGACCTTATAACCATGTGGCTGTGCTTTCTTTTTTCACAATGGTGACCTGGATTCAGGGTCCAATTCCTGGCTTAGGGGATGAGTCCTTTATCTTCTGTCTGTCTGTGTATTTATATGGGTTGTGTGTGTGATGTTTATATATGAAGGAGGTTTGATTAATTTGGTTTAATAATAATAAGAGCTTAAATCAAATATTTTGTCAGAAAATTAAAAAGTATAATGCCTTTTATTTAGTTCGTGTAACTTTAACCTTTGGGAAACAAAGACAGTTTTGAAGATTATTGGTAACATAAAAATATTTTTAAAAATGTAAACATTTGGTCTAAATTATGCAGGTCAGATATTAGGTTTACTAAATATAGTAAGGTCATAAACTGCTTCTTTGGCTTTTAAAAATTGTTCAATTTATTTTGGAGTATTAGATTCTAGATAAGGCCTGGGACATGCGGCGTTAGCCATGCCCTCTAGTTATGTTGGAAATAGTCAGACCCTCTGGTAGCCTAGTCTCCACACCTGGTACCTAATTAATATCACTTACTAACCAGGTTTTTCACCAAAAGTAAAAGTTCTTAAGAGTTAACATTGTAACATGTAATTAAGACTACTAAAGAAACAGTTCCACAAGTAAGTCCTATAAGGAAAGTGAAATGTGTTTTTGGTTAAAAAAAAATTATAAGAAGTCACGGGAGTGTGAATTTTTTTTTTTTTTTTTTTTTTTGAGACGGAGTCTCACTCTGTTGCCCAGGCTGAAGTGCAGTGGTGCGATCTCGGCTCACTGCAAGCTCCATCTCCTGGGTTCATGCCATTCTCCTGCCTCAGCCTCCCGAGTAGCTGGGACTACAGGCGCCCGCCACCACGCCCAGCTAACTTTTTGTATTTTTTAGTAGAGACGGGGTTTCACCGTGTTAGCCAGGATGGTCTCGATCTCCTGACCTCGTGATCCACCTGCCTCGGCTTCCCAAAGTGCTGGGATTACAGGCATGAGCCATTGTGCCCGGCCATGAGTTTTCTTTACTTTGCCTAAAGGGTTAGAGGATTATTTTAAGTTAGATAGAATAAAGCTGAAGGTTTAAGCAAGTTGTGGAAGGTTTATTTAAAAAATTAATTGTAAGAGATTTTGTGTGTGAATATATTGGCTAAAGTTGAAAAGGCATTATTCAGTTTTTCCATAAATTAAACATTGGAATAAAAGCAAAACAGGTTTTTGTTAGAGCAAAAACCTGCTTATGACCTGCTTTTTAACAAACATTTGTAAAGGATTATAAAAGGTTTATGAGAATGTTACCTTATGGTCAAACATTAAAATTGGGTAGATATGTCTATAAGGTTTTATTAAGAATTGGGTTTGACATCAATAATACACTAATGCAACAGTGACATTTGGCTGATTTAGTATAAAAGTCATAGAGGAAGCATCATCAAATATGAAATGGTGTTTGGCTTTCTTTGGGCTGTATTTGTATAAATGTTACTGGTATGTGTTCCAAAATTATTTTTTTAAAAAACTCCTATAATTATGATATGACTTAGAGTATGTTATTAATAATTACAATTGTTATATAAAATCATTGTATGCCACAGAGGTAACCAAATTTCTTTGTTTATCATGTTTTTGACTGTGGTTGTCCTAAGATGTTTCGTCACCCACAAACAATTGTCTTGTTTTAACCCTCTTTAAAAGGTGGTTTATAATCAACTATAAAACTCTAACAAGTGTTCTTGAGTGCAGGGTTCTGATAACTTTGGAAATTGTGACATCAGAATAGAGGAAAAACTTTCAGAACTCTCATGGAGAGCTGAAATGTTCATAGTTATCAAACAGAACAGGAGTTAACTGCATGGAGTAAACCAGTAGAAGTTTGAAGGAATCTTTTGCTTTTTACTTTGCTTAAAATGTTTCTGATCCTTTGTTTTGTTTTTAGAGACAAGGAAATTTTTCTTTTGAGCTATTTATAGCTTTTAACAGTTGAGTAAAGTATACTCCTGTGAACAAAATTTGGAGCATATTTGTTTCTCTCTACCTGATTTCTCCAGAATTTGAAAACTAGTTGCTAGAATTCTTAACTTATGGCAGTATAGTTATTTGCATAAGTGCAATTAGAATCTGTTTTCTTTTGTAGCAGGGCACAATTGGAAAAACTGGTTATTTTACCAAGACTTTGACGGGAATAGTGTGCTTTCCTTTAAGGAATCAAACTTGACTTGTAGAGCCAATAAAATCCCTTGGGAAAACTGGCCTGATACCTTGCTTCCACAGTCCCTGTATAGGGTTTCTGACCTGTGGTAAGTAAAGAATGTCATTTTCTATCAGGCCCAGGGGTCCCAAGTTATCTTGGAACCTCAAGAGGAGAGGAATTTACTCAATTCATAGATATTTGAGGGTACAAACCCATGGCAAGGCTCGGCTCTAATAAAAGCCTTATCTAAAATTCCTTCTATGGAACAGAGTTCCATCAAAGCCAATTTACAAAGAGCTTATGTAAAAAATAATTATTCTTGCAGCACTTTAGACAAATAATTAGGCCAAGTATAAAAAGGCAAATTGATCTTGCCATAATTTGTCTTTAGTCAAAATGGGAAACTGGAGAGAGAAATACTATGTTTCAAAAACTATGGTACACTTGTTATTAAATTCTAGTCTCATCAGTTGTTTTTAAGTTTGTTTCTGCAATTTAGGCTAACCCTGCTTATTCCTGTAAACCAACCAGTGATCTCTGACTGCTGCTTAAAAGAAACAAGACAGATGGGTAATGTAAAATGTGAATCAATATTCTAATTCTGCCTATCAACCCTGTATCAGCTTGGCTCCAACAGTTGCCCAGTTCATGGAAAGCCTTCTAATTTAGTTTACTTGGAATAATTTTACTTATTTTGCTTTACAGTTGTGGAATATATTGCTATTGAAATCTTGTTGTGTAGGAATAAGGATATGCTTTCTCAATGTTTTCTTAAACACTTATTAATCTTCCAGATATCACCTCTTGTCGAAACTCAGAGTTAGGAATGGCCATTACTATGCTGATGCTTTCTGACTGAGCTCCTCTCTACCCTAATACAAAGGACTCTCACAGTTAGGTTAGGAATATCATCACCCCTATTCAGTATGAAGAAGTTACAGAAGGTGGATCTTAGTCCCTCCGCAACCCTTATGATTAAGGGTTCTCTTATAAAAGGGAGGAGGGAAATGTAAGAGGTGTTTAAACCAGAGCAACTCCATCTTGAACAGAGGCCGGGTAAAATAAGGCTGAGACCTCCTGGGTTGCATTCCCAGACAGTTAGGCATTCTAAGCCACAGGATGAGACAGGAGGTCAGTACAAGATACAGGTCATAAATACCTTGATGATAAAAGAGGTTGCAATAAAGAAGCTGGCTAAAACCCACCAAAACCGAGATGGCGATGAGAATGACCTCTGGTCGTCCTCACTGCTCCACTCTCATTAGAGCCATGACAGTTTACAGATGCCATGGCAATGTCAGGAAGTTACCCTCTATGGTCTAAAAAGGGGAGGCATGAATAATACACCCCTTGTTTAGCATATAATCAAGAAATAACCATAAAAATGGGCAACAAGCAGCCCTCAGGGTTGCTCTGTCTATGGGGTAGCCATTCTTTTTTTTTTTTTTCTGAGATGGAGTCTTGCTCTGTTGCCCAGGATGGAGTGCAGTGGCACCATCTTGGCTCACTGCAATCTCTGCCTCCCAGGTTCAAGTGATTCTCCTGCCTCAGCCTCCCTAGTAGCTGGGGTTATAGGCATGTGTCACCACACCCAGCTAATTTTTGTATTTTTAGTAGAGATGGGGTTTCACCATGTTGGCCAGGCTGCTCTCAAACTCCTGACCTATGATCCACCTGCCTCGGCCTCCCAAAGTGCTGGGATTACAGGCATGAGACACTGCGCCTGGCCCATTCTTTTATTCCTTTACTTTCTTAATAAACTTGCTTTCACTTTACTCTGCATACTTGCCCTGAGTCCTTTCTTGTGCAAGATCCAAGAACCCTCTCTTGAGGTCTGGATGGGGACCTGTTTCCAGTAACACGTTCACTCACCTGCATGCACAGTCAGTCCTCAGTAGGCCTGTATTGTTTTATGCCAGCTTCTATAGTAAGAGCCAATGATAAGACAGGAGGATTCCTGGGAGAAATGTATTTTGTGTTCTCTCTTCCATATCAACTCACCCTCTTGTTGCCTCTCTGTGTTCTCTTCCTCTCCAACCCTGGCAGTCATCCTGGGTGGGATCCTGGGTCTCCACAAAAAAGGATGTCACTGGAACCTGCTCAACCACATTCCAGTGGGAAGGAGAGAGCCCTTCTGCATGCCCCCAAGACTCAAATCCTTGAAGCTCCTTCAGGACTTCAGAACATGTAGGAGTTCTCCTGGCTGCCCAGCTCACCTATCTTAAAAATATATATTTTTTAATTTTATCTGATTTAGCTGCTATTTTGAAAGTAGTGCATAGACATTAAATACATTTTTTTTGAATTCAGGAAACTAAAACATAGGAAGAAATAATGCACTAATTAAAAGTGACAACTGTTGGTATTTTGGCATAGAAATTCCTTCCTGTGCTTTTCTTGCTTTGGGGGCTGAAATGCTGGCTTTAAGTCATTAGACTACCTGCTGGGGACCCTTTCTCAAGGCTGCATTACAAAATATGCATTATAACATATGTTTCTGCAACCCACTGAGTTTTCTTTCTAATTTCCAATTTTCTCATTTGCCTACAGATCTGTAACTTTTTGTCTTGCTGTTCTTACTGTAGTTGAAGAAATAGGCAAAAAGTCTATCTAGGTTGGTGTCTTGAGTGGCTTTTCATTGTTCTCCTCTCCTGCAATATGAGTTAATCTTCTCTAGTTGAGGTAGATTCCAGGGAGGGTGGTCCAAGACAATTGCATTCCTTCTGGACAGAATTTCCCTTAATTAAACAAGAAAACTTCAAAGAAAGCCCTTCTCTCTGCTTTGGAAGGGAAGGGGGCAGTGGCAGAAAGTCAGAGAGAGACCTTTGTAAACCAAAATAAAATTCAAAGCCCCCCCACCCCAACAACCATCTGAATGGACTTCTTCTTCCAGGTCGGAGCCCTCTAAATTTAACCTGAAAGACTGGTTCAGGTCATGACGGGAAGTGGGAGTTCGGAGATGCCTCAGTATGCCCTCCTCTCTTTTGGAATTCAGGAAAAGCCAACCAGCATTTCACATCAACACAGAACTTAAGCCTGCTATCTGGAGACTTCGTCTGCAAGATAAAGCTCTGGTCTCCAAAAACTTTTTTTTTTTTTTTCCAGAGACAGAGTCTCACACTATGCCTAGGCTGGAGTGCAATGGGGTGATCTCAGCTCACTGCAACCTCTGCCTCCCGGGTTCAAGCAATTCTCCCGCCTCAGCCTCCTGAGTAGCTGGGACCACAGGTACCCACTACCACACCCTGTTAATTTTTTTTGCATTTTTAGTAGAGATGGGGTTTCACTATGTTGGTCAGGCTGGTCTCAAACTCCTGACATTGTGATCCGCCCGCCTCAGCCTCCCAAAGTGCTGGGATTACAGGCCTGAGCCACTGGGCCTGGCCCTATTGTTAATAATTCTTTCAACCAATTGCCAATCAGAAAAATTTTTAAATCTACCTATAACCCTATAAACTGGAAACACCCACCTCCCCAACAAGTTGTCCCAATGTTGGAAGTAAACGCTCAGTGCCGCCAAGTGAAAATAGCACTCAGGCAAAAGTTTTCTCAGCAAGGCAATTTACTTCTATAGAAAGGTGCGTCTCGCAGATGGAGCAAAGGCAAGAGCACACTGGACAAGGGAGGGGAAGGGGGTCTTATTCCTAATGCAGCTAGTCCCTACTGCTGTGCCTTTCCCCTATTGGCTAGGGTTGGACCATACAGTCTAAGCTAATTCCAATTGGCTATTTTAAAGAGAGTGGGGGTAAGAGCCAGAGTGGTGGGGTGAGTGTTTTCAGCGGGAAGGATGGTTACAGAGCAGGTGACTAAGGATGACTAGGGACAGAGCAGGTGATAGAGGATAGGAGGGGATTGTTTACTGAAACTAGGGGCAAGGAGACATAAAGAATGAGGAAGTTAAACTTTAAAATAGAGAACAAAGAACAGGGGAGCTGAACATACTGATACATTGGTTTTTTGGAGAGGATCTCAGAACTCATTGTACTTAACAATTTTCTCCCTCTTGAATTTTAAAGGAAGTTAACAGGCTAAAACCTTTGAGGAGGAATTTATTATATCCTGCACCAGCTTTCCAGACTGGACCAATATATATCTTAAATATATTTGACTGATGTCTCATGTCTCCCTAAAATATATAAAACCAAGCTTCACCCTGACCACCTTGGGCATAAGTTCTCAGGATCTCCTGATGGCTATGTCATGGACCATGGTCACTCATATTTGGCCCAGAATAAATTTCTTCAAATATTTTACAGAGTTTGACTATTTTTGAGGCCTCTGCAGTATTTTCTACAGTTCAATGCTTTAGTTTACCACAGGTGTTTTTTTCCTTTTTTTTTTTTTTGAGACAGAGCCTTGCTCTGTCACCCAGGCTGGAGCGCAGTGCCAAAATCTTGGCTCACTGCAACATCCACCTCCCAGATTCAAGTGATCTCCTGTCTCAGCCTCCCGAGTAGCTGCGATTACAGACACCCCCCACCATGCCTGGCTAATTTTTGTATTTTTAGTAGAGATGGGGTTTCACCATGTTGGCCAGGCTGGTCTTGAACTCCTGACCACAAGTGATCCACCTGCCTTGGCCTCCCAAAGTGATGGGATTACAGGTGTGAGCCACTGCACCTGGCTGAGCCCTCCTGTTTTGTTCTTTTTCAATATTGTAATGGCTATTCAGAGTCCCTTAAGAGTCCATATAAATTCTAGGATGAATTTTTCTACTTCTGCGAAAAATGTTGTTGGGATTTTGTTAGAGCTTACAATGAATCTGTTGATCTCTTTGGGTAGTATTAACATCTAAACAATATTGTCTTCCAATCCATGAACACAGTATGTCTTTCCATTTATTGATGTCTTCTTTAGTTTCTTTCAGCAACATTTTGTAGTTTTCAGGATACAAGTCTTTCACCTCCTCGGTTAAGAGGCACTAACAATTTAAAGCTGGTTCTTGTCCACAGTAGTTCCCTACAGCAAATGTGAAACACAACTCATGTTGCAGTTTAAAGGTACCGAGTACAGCCCTGGCTGAGAAACTCTGTAAAAGGAGAAAAAAAAACTTCCCCAGCCCCAGCAACCAATACCTAAAAGATTTGTAAGCAGAAATTTTCATTCCTGTAATTTATTCATTCTCTCAGCTGCACCTGTTTGTTAAGGCCACAGGGGCTGTCATCAACTAAGAGCTATTCCGGTAAAGCAAACAAACAAACAAACAAAAAAACCCTGGCTCTATTTTCAGCAGCTACCCAGCTCTGTGGGTGCCAAGTCCATGACCCCGCATGACTTTTGTAACCCAAAGCCAAAGGCCGGAATTTAGGCTCAGGCAACACAATCTCTGGGTGTTATTTTGCCCCTTAAATTGCACTCTTTGTACAACGTTTCTGGCCCCATGCAATAACCCAGAAATAGACACAAGAATTAGGCAGATGGAGATAGAAATAGCGCCTTAATTACTGATGAAGCTGTTAGAGAATGAGGTTCCTTCTCTCCGAGCCATGTGGGCTTATGAATATTTCACCCCACCACTGGACAGATTATCCATCCCTGGAGCAGGAACCCTGGACAACTGTGTGCCTCTCCAACAGGGCTTGTCTCTCTGACACCTGCAGCTTGAAGGAGCAGAACTAAATACGTGCTCTCCTGTATGTAGGTAGATCCTAAGGAAAGTTGAGAAGAAAGGGCTAAGCTAGGCATGACTCCACTCCTTCAAAGATTAACAGATACATTTCACCCCCTCCCTGCAGGAGGCTGGGAGCTTTGCTCCCATAAAAGTTCCAGCACATAGAAACAAGAAAAAGCAAAATAAGTGTTTCCTCCTATATAAAGCAATTTAAAAGCTTAATTTACACCCATACATTTGCTCCTTACAAGCAAAGAATAAATTTCTTTCAAATGCTTCGGGATCATTTGTAAAAATATATCAAGCACTAATCTACAAAGAAAATCCCAATAAGATTTTTTTAAAGTAATTATAGAAGCTGCCTTCTATGACCATACTGCAATAGAGCTGTAACTTAACAATATAAGGATGATCAATTTTTTGCTCATTTTCTATTTTAAATTAGGTTTTAAAATATGAAGTGTGCAGTTTAATTAATGTTTACTTACTTATCCACCACATAACTACCACTTGATGAAGATACGGAATGTTTCCAGCACTCCAGACAGCTCCCTTTTATTCCCATCCGGTCCATATTCACTGTATATGCTTTCTATGGATGCTGCAATAAATTACCACAAATGTAGTGGCTTAAAACAATACACACTTATTGTCTCACAGTTCTGTAGGTGAGAAGTCTAGGTAAAGCTCAACTGGGTTCCCAATCTTATCTTGGCCTTTTTTTTTTTTTTTTTTTTGAGATGGGGGTCTCGCCACATTACCCAGGCTGGTCTCGAACTCCTGGGCTCAAGCAATCCCTCTGTCTTGGCCTCCCAAAGTGGTGGGATCACAGGAATGAGCCACCATGCCCAACCTTGTCTTAGCATCCAACTACCAAAGTCAAGGTGTTGGATGGCCTGGGCTATTGTCTGGATACTCCAGGGGAGAAACTGCTTCTAGGTGTCTTCATGTCATTGGTAGAACTGACTACTTCTCATGATTTCCAGAACAATGACTCAAGTCCTTGTCACACTTTGAGACTTCTGACTTCCTCTTCTGCCGCATCTCTCTACCTCCAGCCAGGGAATGTTCTCTGCTTCTAAGGGCCCGTATGATTAGATTAGTCCCATCCAGATAATCTCTGTCTTTTAATGTCAACTCATTAGTAACTTTAATTACATCTGCAATGTCCCTCTTGCCAGGTAACATAGCATATTTATAGTTTCTAGGGATTA